>NC_000005.10:116776473-117079503 GCF_000001405.40 Homo sapiens | reverse complement strand
CAGTCACACAAAGCAAATGATCACGGAAGGAAATGAGCCACCAAAGTTTCAGGGATATTGTAACCAAGGAGAGGCCAAACTGAGAGAAAAACACAAAGCTAGCAATTTCAAGAGAGCAGTATTAATGTGTTCCTAAATCAAGGAATCCAAAAGCAGAAATCAAAAGCAAGAAAGCTAAGAATCAAGGAGTCAAGGTCTTACAGCAGTTATAGGAGAATAGGAAATAAGTGGAATGAATGCTGTTGCCAATAAGCCTGGTTTTCAGGTACTCAACATTATGTTGACTTAGGTAAGTCAACTGCATTTTAAAGGACTAGAGACAAGGCAAGATATGTTTTCTTAGATGTGCCAGAAACATGTGACTCCTCATCTTAAAAATATTTAATATTTTCTCATTACCTACTGAATAAACCAATATACTTAGCATGGCATCTAAGACCCTACTTTATCTGATCACAAAACTACCACTTCAACTTTACTTTCCATTAGAAGTCTTCTTCATGAAGTCCCCTATGTTTCTTTGTGGTGTTTTCCTTCCCTGGAACTGAAGAAAGGATGGGTCATCAGATCAAAAAAGCCCACGAAGTACCTAGCAGGATGAAAAAAACAAAAACAAAAAAACAAAAACACACCAAAACATACACTGGTGAAATTTCAGAACATTCAAAAAAACTGAAAAAACTCCAGAGACCATTAACTCTCTCATGCCCCTAGGTGACTGTTTCATAAGTTTTTACTCCTCAAATCTTCAACTTCTCTTCCTCAGATTCATTCACAGATGTTGACCTTGTTTTACTTCACAAATCAAATTGAAGCAATCAGAAGACAACTTTAACAAACTGTACCAAACTCACCTACTTACTACCAACATCAATGCCTAGAACCTCAGGTTTCTAACCTGTTAGAGGATTTATCTATGCTCTTACTTAAATTAATTTTTCTCTATGTTTTTGAGCCCATCCACTCTTGCATACTAAAAGACGTGGTTCAAATGAGCGCACCTCTTTTTCTTTCTTGCTCAGAATATCCTTCTCTAGTTGACCGCTCCTATCAGTATACAAATACACTCTCATCACTTCCAAGTCAAAAAAGTCTTCTCTTGACCCTACTTTACCCATAAGCTACCACTACTTCATTACTTCTTTACTCCCTTTATGGCAAATCTGCTTGAAAAGATTATTTGTATGCCTTGACTCTGATTCTCCTCCCTCCTTTCTTTGCATTTTTTTTTTCCATTCTTAATCATATTCCAATCAGACTTCCTCCTACCATCATAACCACTACAAAATGGATCTTTTCAAGGATGCCAATTTTACCAGGTTACTAAATCTAAAGGATTATTCTCAGTGCTCATCTTATTTGACCTATCAGTAGCATTTGACACAAAACGTTAATTTATCCTCCTTCATATACTTTGTCATTTGGCTTCAGAAAATATTCATCCTTTGTTTACCTTCTGTTTAAATAGTTGCTCCTTTCAAACTCCTTACTCCTCTCCCTTTCTTCTAGATCTTTCTTTTGTTTGTTTCTTAGAGTCCTCTCTTAGTCTGTCTTGTGCTGCTGTAACAAAATATCACAGACTGGGCAATTTACAAAGAGAAATTTATTTTCTCACAGTTCTGGGAAGTGGGAAGCCCAAGATCAAGGTATCAGCAGGTTTGATTATCTGGTGAAGGCTGCTGTCTGCTTCCAAGATGACATCTTGAATGCTGCATCTTCCAGAGGTAAAGAAAGCTATGTCATAACATGGCCAAAGGCAGAAGGACGAGAAGGGTGAACTCCCTTTTATAAGGGTACCTAATTTCATTCGTGAAGGCAGAGTCATCACAACTCAATCACGTTTCAAAGGCCACACCTAATACTGTTGCATTGAAGATTAAGTTTCAACATGAATATTGGAGGAGACAAAAACATTCAAACCATAGCAAGGACCCTGGGACTTGGTCTTTTTTTTCTTCTTCTATATGTACACTTACTTTCCAGGGAATCTCATTCATCTCATCACTTTATGTTACATCTATGCAAGGTAGTTCCCAAATTTATATCTTCTGCCCAGAGAAGTTGGCAAATTATATTCACATATATAACTGCATATATGACATCTCCAAAATTGAACTCATGTTTTTCTACCTCAAACTACTCCACCTAGTGGTTCTCCCATCTCGCTGAATGGCAACCCAAAACTTTCAATTGCTCAATTCAAAAATTGTGGAGTCATCTTTTACTCCTCTCTTTTATACATGTTCCACATCCAATCCATCAGAAAATCTTGCCGGCATTACTATCTAAATATATCAGGAATTCAATGAGTGATCACTAGCTCCTGGTCTGAGCCACTAACACTTTCTATCTGGATTTATCTAATAGCCTTCCACGTGGCCTCCTTGCCTCTTCCCTTGACCCAATAAAGTCTATTCTTAGTATAGTAGCTTTTTAAAACATTTGCCACTCTTCTGCTCAGAACATTTCTTTTTTAATTTCTCTAAGATTAAATGCCAAAATCCTTACTCTGGCCTACAAAGACATACATGGTCTGACTCCCTGTTACTTCTCTGATAGCATTCCTTAATAATCTCCCCTGGTGCTGCCTTCTCTACAGCCACATGCCATTTGTGTGTCATACTATATATGTATGTATGTGTGTGTATGTACTATAGAGAAGTCAACACAAAGGGAGAATATTAAGGAAAGTATTATATATAAAATTGATTTAGATATTACTATATATGCATGTATATAGTAAACGTTTGCATACACATACATATATAGTAATATCTAAATCAATTATATATAAATACATACTGCATAGAAATAGAATGAAATTATGCATATTAAACAATTGAAAAACTTACTTCTAATGAAGGATTTGGAAAGTTAAATGAGAAAATAAAGGTGTGCTCTCTGGACAGGGTTAGCAGGGGTTTTCAATATCATAGATGTAATATATATGACAACATAAAGCGTGTGAGGTAAGGGTATTTCAATGATGATGAAGTTTTTATATTTTATATAAATTGATATAATATTAATGCTAAATGGGTTGTTAAATTAGTGAATAAGTTAGTTATATTAACAAATTAATAAGTTAATAAATTTGTTATGTATATTATAATCACTGGAACTACTCTGAAAACAAAACAATGTAGCTAAAATTAATAGATATTTTTCAGTGGAATATAAATAATATTGAAAAAATCTAAATGAAGTGAGAAAGGAAGCACAGAGGAACAAGAAACCATGGGGACAAATAAAACAAATAATGAAGCGGTAAACCAAAATTCTTATCATTATAATAATTAAAATAAATGGTACTGGTGTAAACACTCCAACAAAAAGACAGAGATTATCAGTGTGGATAAAAACATAAGACTTGGTTGCATGCTGCCTACAACAGACACTCTTTAAATAAATGAATGGAAAAAGATATTTGACATAAACAGTAAGCATAAGAATTCTGGAGTGGTTATTATTATATCAAATAACACAAACTTCAACAAAAATAGTATTACTAGAGATAAAGAAAGACAATTCATAATGATAAAATGAACAATTCATTGGGAAGAAGTAAAAATTATAAACGTGTGTGCACCATTATGGAAATTTAAAATACATGAAGCAGAAATGGAGTCAAGACACAGACTTGTGTATATGCAGAAATGTAAAATACATGAAGCAAAAATTAACAGAATTAAAGAGAGAAATAAGCAATTACATAATTATTTAAAATTAGCAATTAATAGAGCCAGTAAACAAAAATAATCAGTAAAGACCGAATGGTCGAACATTATCAACCACCAAGTTCTAATGGATTATTTAAAGAACATTATACCCAACAATAGCAGAATAAATGCTATTTTACAGTGCATATTTATATGGTAAATATAAATATAACTTGTTCACTAGAGAAGAATATATACTATCATAAAGTAAGCCTCAATATATTTAAAAGAACTAAAATCATATGGAGCATATTATCTGATTACAACAGAATTAAATTAGAAATCACTAATAGTAAGATATCTAGAACAACCTCAAATATCTGTAACTTAAACAGCAGACTTCTAGATAATTCTTGGTTCAAGAAAAAATCACAAGACAAATTTTAAAACATTTTGAAATGAATTACAATGAAAATACAACAAATGTTCATAGCAACTTTATTTGAAATAATCAAAAACTAAAATGTCAATCAGTCCAAATGTCAGTCAACAGGTGGACAGACATCCAAACTGTGGAATACTCATACAATAAATCACTACTTAATAACAAAAAGTAAAATCTAAAAAACTATGCAATAAAAATTACAAAATTTTCCTGACAGAATTTTTAAAAACATGAGAAAACGGAAAAATATGCAATGTTCAATATTACAGAATAAGAAATCTGAGCATTATAAAAATGCCAATTCTTTCAAAATTAATGCATAAAACCATTCAATTCTAATAAAAATATAATCAAGAAATGTTACAGAATATAAAATGTTGATTCTTATATTTATTAGGACAAGAAAATACTCAAGAAAAAGAAAACATTGAATCTTGAGAGCAGGATTTGCCCTACCAGACATCAAAATACAGCATGAAACTACAGTGATTAAAATGTTATGGAAATGAAATAGAAAAATTAAATAATTAAATAAATGGAACAGAACTGAGTCCAGACATAGTTTCATTTATATATGGGAATTTAGTATATATTTTAAAATATGGAAAATGTCTGTATCTTCTGCTCAATTGTGCTATGAAGTTAAAACTGTTCTAAAAAATAAAGCTTATTAACATTAAGAAATAATAATAAAATACAGGCTGGGCGTGGTGGCTTATGCCTGTAATCCCAGCACTTTGAGAAGCCAAGGTGGGCAGATCACTTGAGGTCAAGAGTTCGAGACCAGCCTGGCCAACATAGTGAAACCCTGTCTCTACTAAAAATACAAAAATTAGCTAGGTGTGATGGTGGGCACCTGTAGTTCCAGCTACTGGGGAGGCTTAGGTGGGAGAATTGCTTGAACCTGAGAGGTGGAGGCTGAGTGAACTGAGATTGTGCCAAAGCACTCCAGACTGGGCAACACAGCAACAGACTGTCTCAAAAATAAATAAGTAAATAAAATAATAACAATAATAAAATACAGTTTTGCAAAAAAAATGCACTTCAAAACAATAGGAAAGGGATGCACTGTTAAATAAATGGCTATGCTTAAGTCACATATTTAGAAAAGTGTAAAATTATTACATTTCTCATATAATACATAAAAAATAAATTCTAGACATATTTCAAAATTGCATTTAAGAAATTTAATAAAGTATAAAGAAATGATGAAGATTAAAAGGACATAATAAAGAAGATATTCTTAACTAAGGCTCAAAATCAGATACTATAAATGAAGATTAAAACCTTTGAAAATTTTGAAGATTATATGGATGTATTGCAATTAAAATGAAAAGAAAAGCAATGGTTTATGTTGAAATATTTATTATGTATAGCAAATAAGAAAGATTATAGCCAAATTTATTTTTAATAAAGAATAGAAGTAAAAATGTGTTAATGAGAGCAAAGGGAAATGGCTAGAACAGTTTACAGAAAGTAAAAATTGTCAGCAAATTCATTTAATTATATTAGAAATTAAAGATATTAAAAGTAAGGTAATAGTGACCATTTTACTACATTGGGCAGTGGGTATGTTGATATGGGCTTCTTGGTGGTAATGTTAATTGGCACAAATTTTTTAAAGAACAACTTTAGCAGAATGTATCCAAATTTGACACAGACATAACCTTAGCCCCAGCAAGGGGCTTTACCAAGAATTACGTTTCTGTGAGAAAAATATATATATGTATGCAAAGAATAATCAGAATTGTTGGAAAAAATAGGGAAAGGTTAAATGATAACCAACAGGAGAATATTTAAACAAACTTACAAAACTTTATTGAAAGATATTAAATATAAACAAAAAAGGCTATCCTCATGAATAGTAAGACTCAGTCACTGAAATAGGTCCATTCTGTTCAAATTAAATTATTATTATTATACAATTCCAATAAAGATTGAAACAGGCTTATTTTTGTTGAAACTTAAAATCTGATTCTCAAACTGATATAAAAGAACAAAGGTGCAAGTTGGCAAAACCACTCCTGAGAAGAAAAATAAGAATTATTGAGTCTAATTATATTGAGATAGTAAGCAGGATAGTGTACCTTTGGTGCAAAATTGAATATATACAAGGAAACTTTGCATGTGACAGAGTTGGAATTCTAGAACAACTACAGAGTATTCAATAAATAATGCTATAAAATTAAAAATATTGGTACCTTATACTCACCATACACATAAGTTCGGTCTTTAGTGGACCAAAGACTTAGAGAAAAATGTTGAAATTCTCGTAAGAAAATATTGGAAAAGACATAATTTGGAGAAGAAAAAGATGCTCCACATAAGACATGGAAATTAAAATCCATAAAGAAAAAGTGTTTTCAATATGATTTCATTAAACTTTCAAACTTCTGTGTATCAAAATTCACCATAAATAAATAGAAGACAAATCAAAACAGGAAAAAAGCATTTGAATTTTATGTGACTGGCAAAGGAGTGATAAGAATATGTAATTTTATGAAATAAATAACAAAAAGATAAGTTAATAGAAAAATAGAGGCAGGGGAAATAAGCAGCCATTTCACAACAGAAGAAACAAAAATGTCAAGCCCAGAGGCTAAGCAGTGACCCAACCCGGCCCCAGTGCTTTCCTTAAGCCTTCCCTGGGGTGAAAGGCAAATACACATCAGTAATAATACAAAGAAGGAGCATCCGGTCCTATTCAAACCCAGCTGCTAAGAGGCAACTCCACCAAGCCTTGGTGCTTTCCTAAGCCATCCCCAGGCCAGGAAGCAAATGAAGTTCTGTAACTATAAGCTGAGAAAGCATCTGGCCCCATTCAAAACCAGTAGCTAAAGGGAGACTCCACCAAGCTTCAGTGCTCTGCTTAAGGCTACTCTAGGCTGAGAAGTTCACACATATCTGTGGAGCATAGCTTGTGGCCCTGCCTATGCCTTGCAGCTGAGTAGCAATGCTGGCAACTTTGCCAGCCTCACAGCCCAGCATGCAGCTCTGTTAAACTGTGGATTCCACAGAACAGTACCACCTGGCCAGGGAAGACAATCTGGAACCTTGCTTGAACAGAGGTGATTGCAAAGCCCAGCCACGGCTCTACCTGACCACAGAGTCCAGTCACTTGTCTCACCAGACTGCAAAGCACAGCTAGCAGTACCATTTGACCTTAGAGAATAGAAAGTGGCCCAACCCAAAGAAAGAACCCAAAACCAAGCCCTGCCTGTTCATGGTTACTACAACCTGACCTACCAGAAGCCCCAGTAAAACTAAATAATAAACTAAACTGGTCTTTTGCTGCCAAATAATACCTGCAAATCTCAGAAGAGCTGTCTGTTTCCTCAAATATGCAGGAACCAATGCAAGGAAATAGGAATTATTTTAAAATCAGGGAAATATGACACCATCAAAAGAGATAATAAAGCTTCAACAATGGACCCAGAAGAAATAGAGATCTATGAAATAACTGACAAATAATCCAGAACAATCCTCTTAAAGTTCAGGAAATTCCAAGGACATGCAGGTAGGACATTTTTTTTTAATGTGGCAAATAATTCATCAACAAAATGAGAAATCTGACAAAGAAATAGGAACTTTTTTGGAAATCAAATAGAAATCCTAGAGATAAAGAATAAAATAACTGAACTGAAAAATTCAACATAAAGCTTCAAGAGTAGACTTGATCAACCAGAAGAAAGAATCAATGAGCTCAAAGATAAAACATTTGAAATTACTCTGTCAGAGACGAAAAAAGAATGAAAAAGGCCAATAAAATGATGGGACACCAGCGAGTGAACTAATCTTCACATGATAGGAGTTCCAGAAGTAGAAGAGAAATTAAAAGGCCCAGGAACATATTTAAGGAAATAATGGCTAAAACTTTCCCAAGTCTACAGAAATATGACAACATCCAGGTACATAAACTCAGAGGTCTTCAGTAAAATTCAACCTAACGATTTCATTAAGACACGTGATAATCAAATTAAGAAACATCAAAGACAAAGCAAGAATATTGAAAGCTGCAAAAGAAGCATAATATACTCAAGAGCCCCAATACAGCCCTCAGCAGATCTCTCAGAAGAAACCCTGCACACCCAGAGAGAGTGAGATGATATATTCAAAACGCTGAAAGAAAAATAAAACTGCCAACCAAGAATTAATATTGTAATAATGTCTATACTATCCAAAGTGATCTGTGATTTAATGCAATCGCTATCAAAGTTCCAGTGTCATCCTTCACAGTCATAGAAAAAACAGCCTTTAAATTCATATGGAACTACAGAAGACCTGAATAGCCAAGACAATCTTGAGCAAAAAGAAAAAGCTGTAAACATCACATTCCCTGATTTAAAAATATATTATAAAGTGGTTGCAACCAAAACAGCATAGTATTGGCATAAAAACAGGTACATTGGCCAATGAAACAGGATACAAAGCCTAGAAATAAACTCACACATTTATAGTCGATGGTTTTTGATGAAGGTACTAAGGACACACAGTAGGGAAAAAATAGTCTTTTCAATAAATGATGCTGGGAAAACTTGATGCCATGGAACGAAATTGGATACTTATCTCACATCATATACAAAAATCAACTCAAATGAAAGACCTGAAACTGTAAAACCACTAGAATAAAAAATATAAGAAAAGCTTCATGATATTGGGCAACAATTTTTTGGATATGATCCTGAAAACACAGGCAACAGAAGCAAAAATGGGTAAATGCGATGGCATCAAACTAACAAATTTCTGCACAGTAAATGAAACAATTAACAAAGTGAAGAGATAACCCACAAAATGGGAGAAAATATTTTCAAACAACACATCTGATAAAAGGCTAATATTCAAAATATATAAGGAAATCAAACTAGTCAACAGCAAGAACACAAGCTAATTTTTAAAATGGCAAAGGACTTGAACAGACATTTCTCAATATAAGACTACAAATGGCCAACAGGTACATTGAAAAATGCTTAGCATCACTAATCATTAGGAAAATGCTGATTAAAGCCACAGTAAAATATTATCTCACACCTTTTAGAACGGCTGTGATCAAAAAAGCAAAAGGAAAAAAAATATTGACAAGGATGCAAGGAAAAGGGAACTCTTGTACATTATTGGTGGGACTAATTTGTTACAACCATCATGAAATTTGTATGGAGGTTCATCAGAAGACTAACAACAGAACTACCACATGGCTGTATTGTATATTTCAAAAAAAAAAAGAGTAAATTTCAAAAGTCTCTCCACAAAAATGATAAGTAAATCAAGTGATGGATATGTTAATTATATTGATTAAATCATTTCACATTGTATATGCATATCAAAACATCATATTGTACCCCCAAAATATATACTATTACAAATTGTCAATTTAAAATGCTAATTTTTTAAAAGATGAAACAAAACTGCCCATAATTATTTGAAAATATGTTCAACTTCACAAGGAATGAGAGACATACAAACTTACATTACAATGAAATATTTCACATCCACTAGATTACAAAATTTTTAAATAAAATATAATGAGGATATAGCACAACAGACTTTCTTATGCATTGCTTGTAGAAGTGTAAATTGATTAAAAAAAAAAAAAGCATTTTAGAAAGCAGTTTTTCTTTCTACATGGGAAACCTGACAATTTGACAATATGCATCCTATAGGAGACAGAATAATGTCCCCACCAAAGATGTCCATGTTCTGATCTCAAGCACCAGTGAATATGTCATGTTACACATTAAGGGGAGTTAAGGTTGCAGGTGGAATTCACGTTACTATATTCTGTTACATTACATTTTAACATCAGCTAACACTAAAATGAAGGGATTATCCTGGAAGGCCCGATGTAATCATAGGAGATCTTTAAATGTGAAAGAAGGAGACAGAAGATTCAGGGTCAGAAACACAGATTTGAAAACAGAAGCAAGGTTGGAATGATTCTATGTAAGGACTCAACCCACTGCTGCTGGCTTTGAAGATAGAAAGGGGCCATAAGCTAGCAAGAAACCAGATTCTCCTCTAGAGTGTCCAGAAGGCTTATTCCCCTACTGATACTTTGACTTAAGCCTAGTAATACCCATTTCAGACTTCTGACCTCCAAAACTGTAAGATCATAAGTTTGTGTTGTTTTAAGTAATTAAATTAGTAGTAATTTGTTACAGCAATCATAGGAAACTAATATACATACACCATAATCCAGCAATTTTCCACCTATAAGTTAATACATAAATGTACCAAGTAACATGACAAAAATATTCCTAGCAGCATTACTTGAAACAGCAAAAACTGAACAAACCTAATGTCCATCAACAGGAGAGTGGCTATAAGAAAGAGAAGGAGAGGAAAATAGCAGAGTATAATGTAGTTAAGAGCACAGGCTCCAGGGTCACCACACCTAGGTTTGAATTCCAGTTCCACTTCTTACCAGCTGTGTGACCTAATTAATTAACCCCTATACCCTGGTTCTCTTCAGATCATATAAATCTTTTGCCTTTTACTAATTATTCAACCAAACAGTGCCTTACTTTTCTCATGTGCAAAATAGGATTATTTATGCTATCTTATTTGTATGAAAATTAAATGAATTTATATATGTGTGTGTATATGTGTGTATATATATGTATGTGTATATATATATATATATATATATAGAGAGAGAGAGAGAGAGAGAGAGAGAGAGAGAGAGAGAGAGCGCACTTAGGACAGCCTCTGAGATGCAGAGCTATATAAGATAGCTAATATTATTAAAAATTAAAACTCCAAGCCATGAAAACAAATTTCCTGTGATTCAATACGAATGCACCTCAAAAACAAAGTTGATGGGAAAAAAAACAAGTCATAAATAATATATTCAGTGTAATACAACTTCTTTAAATTTCAAAAACTTGTGAATCCAAAATGAATTGTTTAGAATAAATATATATGGGGATGAGCATGGAGTGGAGAAATTTATTGAGAAGGAAATACCCAGGGGCTACAATGATATGAGTAATGTTCCAATTCTGAAGCTAAGGGTTAGATACCTGGGTTATTTCTCGTATCATTTTAATTCTCAATATATAGTAATAATGTAAAACGTTTTCATCTAACAAAATAAAATGTTTAATCATACTTATTTTGTAAAAGTAAAGTGCTTTATCATACAAATTATAGAAAACTAAGTCTAATAAACTTTGGTACATATTTTCTAGGAAGTACTATGGGGCAATTAAAAAGAATTAGGAAATCAAGATGTACTGAATTAATTATCTTCAAAACATATTGTAAGGAGAAAAAAATTAAGTTCCACAACAATACTTTTAGTATGAAGTTATTTATTAAAAAATCAAACAAAATGCTTATTTATATATATGTATGTACATATGTATTTTGGGAAAGAAAGCATGAAACAGTTCTAACTATAGTACAAAAATCACATGAAGAATCTGTGTTAAGATGTGCAATGAATAAAAATTTTGAAAGGAGTGAGCAAAGTCTAAAGCAGAATTTGAGAGATCTACAGTAAGTCTCTATGAAGTCCCTATGGCAAGTTCTTTAAGAAAACACACAGCAAGAAGCCCTAAACTATATTTCAATTATTTAGGAGACGTGTTGTGTTTTTATTTGAAAGTGAAAGAACCATTCAGAGCCTAGAGATAAGATATCTCCTCTTGCAAGGGTGCTGCTTAGATGGAAATGAAAGAAGAGACAACCATAGACAGCAACAATGCGAGAAAGGAGTGACATCCGGAAGCAAGAGGCAGTTTTATGTGTGAAGCGTTTTCTCTGTTGTTTTCATGTCTTTTCTTCTCACTCAGACCTCAAAATAGGAGAAGCATATTAGTTAAGGTACATGCTAAATTTCTGCAACAAAGATATTACAAAATGCAAGACAGAAGCTTCTCCCTTTCTTGTGTAAAGATCCAAGGTAAATATCTGGGACTACAAGCATACTTCTGCCATTTTTAACAGATGAGTTTCCTCCCTGGACCCAGGGAGGTGATTTCAGTGTCACCATCTCTTAACAAACAGTAAGAGGCATGAAGGTAGGAAAATGCATGTGCAACCCTTTTAAAACCAAGACTCAAAAGTTCTTCTACTCATACCTTACTGGCCATAACGTAGGCCTATGACCTCCTCTAGCTACAAGTAAGGATGGAAAACATAGCCTTCATCTGGGCTGATATGTTGCCCAGCAAAACTCTGTTACCATGAAAGAATGGGGAAACAAACATTGGAGGAAAATAAGTCTGCCACAAATGGCAATAACCATCATATTGAAAATTAGATGAATTTAAAAGATAAAATATCTATAAAGCTATTTGTGTAGATGAAGAAAACATATTGTATACCACATAGCCTCAAACAAAAAGTTTACACGTTGTGATTCTTCTCAAGGGAAAACTAGCTAAATAATATCCTCAAAATAAATTGACTCAGTGAAAAATATCCTTCTACTTTTCTGCTTCTTCATTCTCTCTACAACTGGAATTTTTTTTTTTTTTTTTTTTTTTTTTTTTTGAGATGGAGTCTCGCTCTGTCTCCCAGGCTGGAGTGCAGTGGCGCGATCTCTGCTCACTACAAGCTCCGCCTCCCGGGTTCACGTCATTTTCCTGCCTCAGCCTCCCGAGTAGCTGGGACTACAGCACCCGCCACGATGCCCGACTAATTTTTTGTATTTCTCGGCTCACTGCAAGCTCTGTCTCCTGGGTTCAAGCCATTCTCCTGCTTCAGCCTCCCGAGCAGCTGGGACTACAGGTGCCCGCCACCACGCCCGGCTAATTTTTTGTATTTTTTAGTAGAGATGGGGTTTCACCATATTAGCCAGGATGGTCTCCATCTCCTGACCTCGTGATCCGCCCGCCTGGGCCTCCCAAAGTGCTGGGGTTACAGGCGTGAGCCACCACGCCCGCCCACTTTTTTGTATTTTTAGTAGAGACGGGGTTTCACTGTGTTAGCCAGGATGGTCTCGATCTCCTGACCTCGTGATCTGCCCGCCTCGGCCTTCCAAAGTGCTGGGATTACAGGCGCGAGCCACCACGCCCAGCCAACTGGAAATGTTAATAATGACCAAGTATATGCCAGAGGAAAAAAAGTGAAATTATGAATAATTTCATGCCTTTGGAATCAAAATTTCTGATTACTTGATTTTCTTGTTCTCTCAGCCTTCAAATCTCAAAATATAACAACTTTTACATGTATTTTTATAAGTAACACAAATTTACAAAGCATTAAATTTATTCAAGTCACAAAGTTGATTCTACATGCCAACACTGACCAGGGGGACAAAAACCAGCCATTTTGTCCTCTCTCTGACTTTCCCTGTTATTCTAGAAGTGTTTCATTGTCAAATGCATACTACTGTACAGATGAGTTTGGTAAATTTACCTCATGGTCTAACAGCCTCCACAGACAAGCAGCTTAATCTAATAAACGGAAAGATTTATGATAGTTTTATCTTTCCATAATAAATGGAAAGATAAATGGTCAGTCATGGAGAAAGCAGGGTGTGTTTCTTCATCTAGGGACTTTTTCTGTCTGGATTTTACCCACTTGGATTGATCAGACAGGAGAAAAGAAAATCTCAGAAATGCTACCATTATGTGAAATCAAGTTCAGTAACAGAATTTTGGAAATGGAAAGAAGAAAAGCAATTTGCAAAGCCATATCCAGCCAGATGCCTCTTTGTTTCATTTTTGTTGTTGTTTTTGTTTTTGTTTCAGATGAGCAAACTCAGATTCAAAGAGGTAGATAACTTACTTGGAGTCACACAGTAATATCGGAATTGGATCCCCTAGCACTTTCAGGAAGCAATTCCATGTGCTCATGCTTATAAATAAATTATCAACTACTCTTTTGGCTTTTGTTTTTTTTCTTTTTTGGTATAGATCCACAGTTCCATGTTTAAGCAGCTCCCCTGCGTGCTTTTATTACCAATTTTCTTTGAACAAATAAAAATGTTCTATATTCTTTTGGGCAGTTTACTTTACTTGACAATAGTTGACTCATGGGAAAATTTAATTGGTCATAGGAGAATGTGCTAGTGAATATGAGGTTTAGTTAAAAATTAAAAATAAATACTCTAACTCTGGAATGTTCCTTGAATTCTGGGGACTGCCTAGAAAAATCAGACATGAGAGTGCCAGAGTCTGTGCAGCTGTCTAACTGCAGGGCATATGCTCAGGTAGAGGGGGGTGGCTTGTATCTTTCTAAGAGTTGTTTTCCTGGTTGCTGGGACCTCCTCAAATTCTGGATTTCATGACAGAAATAAGGTTAGCTGACCTTGAATTGAGAAGCAGAGGCAACAGCTGAATTTTTACAGGCATAAGTTCCAATTCATCTGGCCTGTGGCACCTGCAGCTGCTGCCTACAGGGTAGGACTTCTGACCCCTCCTGCAAAGGCTTCCTGGTCAAAGCAATGCTTACCAGTTTTCCTTTGTCTGGAATCTCTGTCAGATCATTTTCCAGACAAATCTCCACTCTTTTCCTGGGGAGTATTCCAGGAAAGACAGCACTTGAACTGATGTCAGCCATTTGCTTTTGATTACAAATTTATTTCTGTATGTGCTTTAGCTAAATGTCATGGTGAGATTATAGAAAGCAGGTCCAGGGTGAGCTGCAAGATATTATTATAGAAAGGGGGAATAAACATTGGGGTGGAAGAGCACAACATGCACAGAGTGAAATTGAATAGAATTAAAAATAGCAGAATACATAGATATGAATTGTTCCATAAATCAACTCTCAGTTACATACATTGAATCTTGGTATTAATTTTATATTATTTGTGTAGTATATACCCCTTATTGTGGGACACAGTTTAAAATTTTGAGATATCTAATAGAAACACATAAGGAATATTTTTATTCTTTATGATGGTTGACCACTATTACTTTATTAGTGATATTCTAGATTAAATCATTAAAATTTCCTAACCAGCTGTGCCCAGTGGTTCACACCTGTAATGTCAACACTTTGGGAGGCAGAGGCCGCAGGATCACTTGAGCCTAGGAGCTCAAGACCAGCCTGGGCAACATAGCGAGACAGCCTCAACAAAAAATTTAAAAGTTAGCTGGGCATGGTGACATGCAACTATAGTCCCAGCTACTAAGAAGGCTGAGTTGGGAGGATTGCTTGAGCCCAGGAGATTGAGGCTGCAGTGAGCTGTGATTGTACCACTGCACTCCAGGCTGGGTGATAGAGTGAGACTCTGTCTCCGAAAAAAAAAATATGACAATAGTTACATAATTATGTAAAACTATTAGAAGTCCTATAGATCTGCTTTATATGAATGATGCTTTCTGAAAAGAGATTATGTATCCTTAAATCAGATAGGCACTACAGGAATTAAGGTTAAGTTCTGGCTTGATGAAATTCAGGCATTTGGCATTATTTATTTTCTTAAAGACAGACAGCAACTTGCATTGAACTTACATATATATATATAACATAGTTTAATCAGAAAATTTTCCTGTTCGGGAGTTATTATTTCAACTCATTCTAACACTGGGTTTAAATGACTTCCCATTTAACTCAGTTGACTGCAATGGCTCTCCATTTAACTCAAAGTAAAAGCCAGAGTTCTTACTGTGTTCTGTAAAGCCCAGCATAAACTGGTCCCCTGTTACTTTTTTACCTCCTCTCTCACTACTGCCTTGGCTCAATGCTCTATCCACATTGGCCTCTTCACTGTCCCTTGAACACACCAAGTATTCTCCTAGCCTAAGGCATATTCTAGGCTCAAGCTATATTTTAACTGTCCCTTTTCCAGGGACTTCATTCCCTCAAAGATTCCTTCAGCCAGCTCCTTTATCCCCTACAACTTGTATTTAGTTCTTGTTTCTCAAGGCAGCCTACCTTGGCCACTGTATTTTATACTGCTCACATAGCCACCCATACCCCTAACCCCACTCTAGTTTTTCATTTTTCATAGCACTTGTTACTTTTTAACATGTTATTATTCTTTATTATGCTTACTGTTTATTTTGCTAGAATGTAAATTTTATGAGGCATGAAATATTCCTGTTCAACAGTTGTTTCAACTCAATCCAACACTAATTTGAAATGACTTCCCATGTAACTCAGTTGACCAGCACGTAGTAATTGTTCAAGAAATATTTGCTGAAAGAATGCTGCTGAACAAAAATTCTTCTGTATCTTTTTTATTTTAACTCTTCCACTATCACTATGTACCTATATTTATCTATATTTATATATTTTTTTTTATTTTTATTTTTAGTTCCGGGGTACATGTGTAGGATGTGCAGGTTTGTTACATGTAGACATGTGCCATAGTGGTTTGCTGCACCTATCAAACCATCGCCTAGATATTAAGCACAGCATGCGTTAGCTATTTTTCCTAATACTCTCCCTCCCCACCAGCCCCCTAACAGGCCCCAGTGTGTGTTGTTCCCATCCCTGTGTCCATGTGTTCTCATTGTTCAGCTCCCACTTATAAGTGAGAACATGCAGTGTTTGGTTTTCTGTTCTTGCATTAGTTTGCTGAGGATAATGGCTTCCAGCTTCATCCATGTCCTTGCAAAGAACATGATCTCATTCCTTTTAATGGCTACACAGTATTCCATGGTGTATATGTACACATTTTCTTCATCCAGTCTATCACTGATGGTCATTTGGGTTGATTCCATGTCCTTGCTCTTGTGAATAGTGCTGCAATGAACATACATGTGCATGTATCTTTGTAATAGAATGATTTATATTCCTTTGGGTATATGCCCAGTAATGAGATTGCTGGATCAAATGGTATTTCTGATTCTAGATCTTTGAGGAATTGCCACACCATCTTCCACAATGGTTGAACTAATTTATACTCCCACCAACATTATATAAGTGTTCCTCTTTCTCCACAACCTTATCAGCATCTGTTATTTTTTGGCTTATTTTTTCTTTTTCATTTCTATATTTATCAGCATATATTCTTTATTCTGTTCTGTTCTTTTTGTATTGCTTGACTTTTTAATAATAAATACATATTTTTATAATTTTTCCCAAAGTCAATAAAATGTATAAAGAGTGGAAGAGGCAGAGATAAAATAAGTTTGTGTGTGCAGGAGAGAACTGTTGATAATGAAACACCTTTTTAAGCCGTTAGTAACATTTAGCAGCCTAGTTTGGCTGCATATAATTACATTTTGTTAATATAGTAGAGTCCAGTGGACATTTGCATGATTTTTCACTAAATAAACTTTTTCAACAAAATCCATGTTTTTCAAGGAGTTTTTTTTACAGTGAATGGAAGCAGACAATAAATAGACAATTAAATAAATAACGTATCAAGAAATGACACATATTATAAAGAAAAATAAAATAGGTTAAGGCTGTAGAGAATGATAGGCAGAGATATAGAGGGTGAGGGGAAGGTACAAGTAACTGGAGCAACATTGTAAGTATTTTGTAAAATATGTTTTATGTATATGTACTTGTGAATTTCTGAGTTACAAACCAGTAATGTTTTCTTCTTTGGAATTTTTTTTTAGTATATGTGCTGCCGAAGTGAGCACCTTCTTTGGAATTTTTTTTAGTGACATGAGATTTATAGCTAGAAACAGATTTTCCACACTCATAATGGCTGTGAAGGAGTTAGGGGTACAGCGGAATTGCTAAATTCTCTCTTCATAAGGGTTGTCAGATCTTTTTTTATTGAATCTAGGAATGAGCCCATGGTCTCTGCAGTTTAAATTAATGATTTTCTTTGCTGGAAATTCATGCCAATTTTTAACACTCCATTAACCAAGATATGTCTACTCCGGAAGTCTCTCGCATGATAATGTTTAACCTCTAACCATTTTCTCACTATCTCAAATTCACATTTTAAAGATTCACCCATTGAAAAGTTAACATGCTTTTGTCCTTTAAGTGATGATTAGTTTTTTTCTATAGAGAAAAAATGTTTTAAATATATAAGATCTAAATCCAGACAAGATCTGATAAGTCAGAGCATTTCCAATGGATCACCATAGATTGGTAATTTTCTTTTTTCCTGGATTATATTAAGTGAGTGAATGTGACCCCTTTGTTTCAGTTGTAGAAAATCTGGTCCTTCTGCAGTATTCTGCTCAAGAAGTTAGACCATTTGTGTGGTGGGCTTACACAAGGAAGCTGGGAAAAAAAGAACTTCTCCACTAGCAAGAAAATTCTTAAGTTGAAAACCCTCAGGTTCAACTGACATGTTTTGAGGTTTAACTTACTTTTTCATAAAATAAATGCTAACCATTAAGTATAAGGACAGGTGCTTACTTGTTTGGATAGGATAAATGTAAAAATATATTTCAGGGTCTCCCTTTAAGAAGACTACAATCTGACATGACAGATAAATAATGTGAGTTCAAAAACGTGCTGTTAGATAAGAGAAAAATCATTTTTCATTCATTGATAAGACATAGATTCATTAACAAAGATGCACCAGCCGGTGCGGCGGCTCACGCCTGTAATCCCAGCACCTTGGGAGGCCTAGGTGGGTGGATCACCAGGTCAGGAGATGCAGACCATCCTGGCTAACACAGCGAAACTCCGTCTCTACTAAAAATACAAAAAATTAGCTGGGCATGGTGGCAGGCCCCTGTAGTCCCAGCTACTTAGGAGGCTAAGACAGGAGAATAACGTGAACCCGGGAGATGGAGCTTGCAGTGAGCCGAGATCGCGCCACCGCACTCCAGCCTGGGTGACAGAGCAAGACTCCGTCTCAAAAAAAAAAAAAAAAAAAAAAAAAAAAAAAAAAAAAGGAAGTTTCACTGAAAATAGTCCAGAGGGAGGGAGCAATGAGGAAATAATATTTTACAGGATGAAGAGGTAGGAAAGATTGAACTATAGCAAGTAGTGGGACATGGCTATTATACAATGCAGGTAAAAGTAAATAATGGGAAATCAAGTTGAAAGTTTATTAGAACTGGCAGATCTTGAGTGCATGGAATAGGTAGAGTTGGTTGTCTGCCCCGTCTTGCATAACCCAGTGATATTTAATCCTCAGACCCAAGGCTGAATTCTCAGCATCCCATGTAAGTCATGGCAGCATTATCTTCCCATTATTAGGGATTAGTTTAGGAGAAGCACATGGCCAATTAGATGAGAGAGTTGTCTGCTGTGAGCCTACTGGCAAATGTCATCTTGCTATTAAACATTAGAAAGAAATGTTCCCACTCCTTCCAATGTTGGATCTGCATATGATACTTGAAATTTTTATAGCTGTTTTGTCATCAACCTGAGGATGAAGCCAACAAGAGAAAGAGAACATGGATCCAAGAGAACTGCTAAGAAGCAAAGGTAGGGGCCTATCTATGAAATGTCTTAATATTTGTGACATAATAAGATCCAGTGTTGCTTAATTCATTTAGAATTGTAGGTTTTTAAATTATTTGCATCTTAAAGCATCTTAACTGATAGAGTCAGGCTAGGGAATTTGAACTTACCTATATCAGAGCAGATAATGAAGAAGTACAGATACTTATAAGTAGAGTATAAGTATTAGATTAATCTGGGCATGGTGTTTGAGATGGATTCAGTTAGGATGAAAGTGGATAGGAGAAGTAAGTTAGTAGATGATTATAATTATCTAGGTAAGAGATAATGCAATTCCAAACGCGGGTGAGGCCATGATGAAGATAGCTTTGAATAGATATGAGACAATTTGGAAATAAAAGTGGACGAGCAAGAATGTTTGCAAGTAAGAAAAAATCAGGCAATAAAGAGAGAAAGAATAAATTATTCTGGAAAATAAACGTGTTCTTGACCATTTCTCACTGGAATTCACTGTCAGGAGCCGCAGTTTATATGGATTCTTGGAAGAGAGTGCTGTAGATCATAGCAAACTGTTGTATTTAGCAGCAGCCTGCTTGACAACACCTCCTCCGACCTCTTTCCTTCCTCACTCTTTGTCCCTTACTCCAGTCTATAGGGTTGTACCCTCTAGTGAAGGAGTTTTACAGAAGCCTTTGCCTCGGGCTCTGCTTCCAGGGGAACCCCAAACCAAAATACTCTCCTAAAGGAAGGTTGGACTAAATAAAACAAAATTACTTTCCACATTTAAAATTCTGTGGTTCTAATAAACAAAACAACGTGCTTTCTAAAAGCAACTGCCCCACAGAAGTGGCATGACAATTTCCCCTCTCAAGAATATCATTAACAGTCAAATCCTATTACTACAGGCCAACAAAGGTCCTTCCAAGTTCCTTTGCTTCACTGCTATCCTGTTGAGTTTACTGCTTTTTGATTTCCCTATGTTGCTGGTCTTGGGCTTGAAAATGGCTTTCCTATCCTGGAATATTTGTTTTCATGATTTCAATGTGTTGGAATATATCATGTGTAAGAATTCTGGCACATTCTAAAGAGAAGCCTCAAAAAACATATTCTAGTTTCCAAATAGATTGGCTAATAAGAGTAATATAAATGAAAATGAAAGAAGGCAACAGGAAACAATATTGAAATTTCTAACTTAACCAAGCATAGGAGACCAGAACAGTAATGGAAACAGTCAGGGCTCTCAGTGCAGATAAGCATTTCACAGTCTGATCTACAGGCCCTACCAGTGCCATCAGTTCCAGGCATTTCAGTAAAGTATGAATCACCTCTCCTGTGGAAGTAACTGCAGTGAACCTAGAACTTAACCATTGCATAAAAAAAGCACAAAGACCCCAACTAAGGCAAGCAGTCATGAATGGCACATGTAATTCCTTGTAGGTGAGACTAGGTATATGGGAAGTAACTCCAGGATTTTACTCAGAAATAAAATATTGTAAACTGAACCACTGAGAAAAAAAATGGAAGGGTAAGCATGAACTTCATTCCTCAAAGGTATCAAATATGTAGGATATTTATTTCTTTAACTTCAGAGATGGCTCATCAAATCTGAAAATGAAGTTATTTGTTAAAATAAATTGATTTGAAATAGTTTTCACCTTTTTGAATAGTGTGGGGATTTTCCAGAATGCCTATGAAATATAAGGCATGTACTAGGTTCACATATCCAGAATTAAATAATAATGTTCTTGTCTCTACCATTTCATAAACAACTTTCCAGACACTGGAGACAAGCCCAGAGTATTCAAGAGGCTTTACACACTCAACACCCACATCTACAGTCACTTTTTGCCATGGGGGATCCTTGGTGGAGCTGGCAAGGACATTATTAGGCAGTGCAAGCATTCTCATGGATAAATAGCAACGACTATTAAGCACCCTTGCCTTTTTCCTCTGTAGGAATTTGTCTCCCCTTAACCCAAAGACCTTCTTTTCTTATCCTTTTTTGATTAAGGATCTGGTAAATTCATCTATAGTGGCATAAATTTATGATTAGATATTCTAATGTTGTAGCCCTCTAATACTAATGTATTGCACAAAGGGTAAATTATTACATCTCCCAGAAATGTAGTCATGCTTAATGGTGCCAATACATTCTGAGAAACATGTGCTTAGGTGAGTTCTTCATCCTGTGAACATCATAGAGTGTACTCACATAAACCTAGATGGTATGGGCTACTACACACCTAGGATATATGGTACAGCCTATTGCTCCTCAGCTACAAATCTGTACTGCATGTTACTACACTGAATCCTGTGGGCAATTGTAACACAAAAGGTAAATATTGTGCATTTAAATATTGAAAAGGTACAGTAAAAATACAGTATAAAAATAAAAAATGGTATACCTATATAGGGCACTTATGATGAATGTAGCTTGCAGGACTAGAAGTTGCTCTGGGTAAATTGGTGAGTGAGTAGTGAGTGAATGTGCTGGTCTAGGACATTACTGTACACTATTATAGTATTATAGTACTAGTATTACTGTACCTATTATAAACACTGTACACTTATGCTACACTAAATTTATTTTTTTTAAATTTTCTTCAATAATAAAGTTGCCTTAGCTTATTGTAACTACTTTCTAAACTTTGATTTTTTTAACATTTGACTCTTTTGTAATAACACTTAGCTTAAAATACACCTTGTACAGCTATAAATATTTTCTTCCTTTATATCCATAGTCTATAATTATTTTTCTGTGTTTTAATTTATTTTATTTGTAATTTTTAATCTTTCTTGTTAAAAACTAAGACACAAGCATACAAATTAGCCTAGGTCTACACAGGGTCAAGGTCAGAATATCATTCTTCCTCCAGAATTTGTCCCACTGGAAGATTTTCAGGGGCAATAACATGACATGACGCTGTCATCTCCTATGATAACAGAGCCTTCTTCTGGAATGCCTCCTGAAGGACCTGCCTGAGGCTGTTAACTTTTAAAAATATATAAATAGAAGGAGATAGTCTAAGATAGCAATTAAGTATAGCATAGTAAATACATAAATCAGCAACATAGTCATTTATTATCATTATCAAATATTATATACTGTACCCAATTGCCTGTCCTATACTTTTATAGGACTGACAGTTCAATACATTTATTTACACCAGCATCATCACAAACACTGGAGTAATGCATTGTGCTTCAATGTAGTGATGGCTACAACATTAGGCAATAAGAATTTTTCAGCTCCGTTATAATCTTATGGGACCACTATCCCATATGTAGTCTGTCTTTGACCAAAATGTTGTTAATCAATGCATGAGTGTATTTGCATGGTTTTTTCTATTCAGTGGGGAAAAAAAATGCCAACTACAAAATTACAGGCCTGCTAGTAGTGAAAAGATTGATTTGGAAGATAAAAAAGGGGCCAGTTGCCATATTCCTCACAAATAACACCAAGGATTTACTCTCCTATCCTGTTTTCACACGCATCACAACTCACTGGATTGCCTTTTCAGAATGACAAAGACCTAGCTGATTGTTTTTGCAAAAGGACCGCAAAATATTCATATTAGGGGAGTGTGCATTTTCACTCCACCCTAAGATGTCTTTATAGAATGAAGAAGGGAAATAAAGTGATTAATCCGCTACCATGCAATTTTCCTTCTTCTTAATAGAACCTCCCCACAAGAGATTCTTCCTTCCCCCCTCTACTTCCCTCTTGGGCTAAGAAGCATCAGAAAGCCACGTTTCAGACAACCAAGCTAATGGGGGGTCAGAATCTGAACAAGGGTCCTGAGATGGGCAGAGGGCACAAGTAGAACATAAAGAGAGGATAGGGCTTGATATCAAGCCAGCAGTTTGTTGAGCCAGAGGCTCCCTATGGATTCCTTCAGTCGTGGAGCATTCAGCACTAATGAAGACCTTATACACCAGGAAGTGGAGGCACAAAATGAAAAGATAAAATGTTTTTCAGTTGTTCAAAGCCTAGTGAAATCATTCCTCAGCCCAACGGCAGAACTGGAGGGGAGAATGGCTGGGCCCCATAACAGGTGCAGACAAATGCTGACTAGCAGTGAAAGAGCAGAGAGGAGAATAGCCCCTGAAAGCTTCTTCTTTTTACTGAACCTTGCTTTTAAGTGAAATGGTCTGGATATTCCCAACAATTCTGTTACTCGATTTTACTTACAATTTCAATTGTGTATTAGGAAATTCTTGTGGGGGTATTTGAGGCTGAGAATAATACTCTTTCTATTATACTTCAGAATTGTCATCTCATCACTGCCTTTTTAAAGTCAAATTTGTTTTACTTTTTAAAGAAAATATATTTTCCTCCTTTTATCCTGCTGCTTCCATCTCATTTTACAAAATGTTAACATTCCTTCATTATGTCACACATGGTCTCCAACAAATGTCATCAGAATTGCAAAGTTATTCAGTGTCTTGTGACTGTTTTGCAGTATTTACCCAAGTTTCCTTGCAGATCTATTCATGAATAAATTTTGCACGCTTTGTAACTGCATTCTCAGATATTGCCATTCATAGTTTTATGAGATACTAATTGTAAGACGTTGATGTTTTCCCTGTCACATATATGTCCTTATTAATTCTAGAGTATTTTAAGCAGAAAACAGCTAAATGGGAATAAAAAACAGCACGTAAACTAAGTAGTTGCCAGCAGTGAATGGCACACTTAATTACTGCTGGCTACGGTCCTTTAAACTAAAGAGATAACCTTTGATAATTAAACATACACACACACATATTAATTCTTTCCAACATATATCATTTCTAAAATACAAGGAAGTCAACATTCTTCCCAGTTCTATCAAATTTATGATCCTTTTATTTCCGGTTTAAGTCTGGTAGACCATTCAGGTTTTATGTTTAAGCTCAGTGCTAATGCCTCTCTCATCCGCACTCTTGACTCAAGGAAATGACCAGGAGCAATTGCTAAGTAAGTACAGGGTCCATCAGCGAGTCTAACTGGCTTGCTTCCCAGATGCTCCTGCCATCTGTTGGAAATGTAGCCCAATAGAAACAGAAGGTAGACTTAAAAATACACTTTTCCCCGTGTCTTTTAAAAAGTGTGTTTATCACGCTTTAATAATTAGCCATGTAAACAGGCTTTAAATCATGGCCTCAGATACTAAAGTAAACACTGGTCCTCCACTTGGCCATGGTAGGGGAGCTTTGCATCATGATATATTTAAACAAATCTTCAGTCTCCTTGTCTCCTTGTTCCATAAAATATGACATTGGCTATTAAAACAATAAGTCATACAGAGCAAAATGCAAGATGGGGGAATAGTTTTGCAGAAGAAAGAGGTCAACTAAGGGAGAAAGAATGAGACAAAAGGCACTTTGTGAGCCAAAAAGGAACTATTTTCTCTCACCACATGATATGTAGCTCTTGGTAGAAGTCACTGTTGAAATTTAGATAAATTTACATAAAGTAGTATTCAATATCATGCTCATACACTTAATAAATTAATGGAGATTTTTAGCACTCATTGTATTTTCTGAACCAAAGGAGATGCAAAGCACATTGGACTTCACTCCTGCCCAAAATACCATATAAATCAACAGAGCCCTAGAACAGTCATCCTCAGACTGTGCATCAGAATTAGCACACATTTCTGGCTACAGGATTTCTGATTCAGTAAGTCTGAGGGGGCCCAAGAATGTATTTTCTAATGATTTGCCAAGCCAGAGTGATGCTGCTGTTGTAGACTATAAAGCAATAAAGGTAAGAAAGTAGGAATTCCAGAAAAGCAGAGACAGGAAGAGAAAGCCTTTGAGATGCAGACAGGAAGAGAAAGCCTTCAAGGACACTGAATTTTACAGCTGAATGGGACGTTAGCATTAGGAATCTCTAACTATAACCCCCCTCAATTAACAAGTTATAAAACAGAAACCCTTGGGAGTTATTTGACTTTCTCAGAGTCACTTAGTGGCCTAGTCCAAAACAAGAGCAAGGTAAAAAGTTTGGCTGCTTTTGCTATGACTCTCAGAACCAAACACATATTGAGAAATTTGATCACTGGTATGCTGGTTGTACTCTGTGGATGTTTTCCCCTTTAGAAAACTTTAGGAAAATGCACAAAAAGGGAGGAAAAAGAGTCTAATTCCTGGAAGTGCACATCCATGTGGACAGGTGAATTATAAATGTACTACCCATCTCCCTCCACCTGTAAGAGGCCTGCTTCAGAGATAGAATTTTGGAGGGAGGTAGAGGAACATGGAATACCAAAGAGAGAGATGAATAGACATAAGAGAAGATGGCGTTCTTCAGGGGTACATCATGACCTTTCTTTGAGATTCCTGGGCAGTTTATGTGACTACTAGGTTGTCATCAAAGAAGTCAACCATGTCTAGAGAAGACCTCCATCATGTATCCGAGTCTCTAGAGCCAAGAAATAGAGAGCTTATTTAACACAGTTGACAGCAAGTTACAAGACTGTCAGAAAGCCATGGTCCAGAGATGACCTTGAAGGAGGAAAAGAAGGCCTTAAGACCTTAAGAAGCCTTAAAGGAGGGAAAGCAGACAAAAGGTTGAGAATCTGGCAAACTATGCCAATAAACTTTAATGCTGTTATTTGTGTTTTTATATTAATTAAATATTTTAATAAAATATTTGTACTGGGTGTGTTTACAGGATATAATTCATGAAGAAAATAAGACTGAATGTTTCAATGCACAGATTTCTCAAAGTGGGAAATCCATAAAAAGTGTAATGTTAGCCTCAAGGTAGGAACAATGTTTTGTTCATTATTAAATATCTGGCACCTGCACATAGTAGTTGGTCCATACTTTTGGATTAAATTAAAGTTCCTTTAGAAAACTTCAGCATACTTTATCCCTAAGGAAGAAAATAAGGAAGGCGCTGTGGTTGTTTTTGAAAAAAACAGTTGTAAAAAGGGAGAATTAAACACTGAGAACCAGATAAGGTACTTGCAGTAGGAAATGAATAAGAGAAATCTAGAAGGAAGGAAAGATCATGGGAGTGTAATCAAGTGGCACTTCTATAGCCACTCAATTGCCCTCCTATCACCACCTAAAGTTTTCTGCTCAAGGCTTAAGAGATTCCGAATGTACGTTTATTAGGATCACCATTCTCTTAGAATTGGCACTCTTAACTCAAGCAAAGTGAGATATGCGAAAGCAGCCCAGTGATGTCAGGCACTATTATGTTCAAAATCTAAACCTGGGGTATGGGGCAAGCAAATGCTAATCGACTGGCTTCCCCCATCAGTTTCTTTTAGTGCCTACCTTAAAGTGGTCTACCTTTGCATCCTTTGCATATGTAGGCCACAAAAGGGCAAAATCCTATTCTAAGCTACATAGGGCCTGGTGCTCTGAGTATTCCAAAGGGCTGAAATAATCATCCCAACAGCAATCAATTCCCCTGTTAGTGGTGGACACGAATGCTGAGTGAGGTGGGCAAAGAGGACCAAAGTGAGGTGGGCAAAGAGAAGTTATGTAACAATGTTATCTTACAAAAACTCTAATGGTGTCTTTATAGAAGCCATTTCCCCAAAATACATAACACCAAGTTGTTGCTGCCTTTAATAGTAAAAGGTTTGCTTCCTATAAACCCTGAAGGTGTGCTTTGCGAATCAGTAAAACCTTTTAAAATGTCTCCAGCATAGCAAAACAAGAAATTCCCTCATGTTACAAACACAAGGATTCATTTACATGGAAGGAATTCCTTACCAGTCAGGGCTCATTTTTTCACTAATCAACCATTACTTAAATTTTAGTTGTGCATGAACCACATGCCCCTCATGTGCCTTGCACAGCAAAAGTTGAGTAAATGGAATCATAAAATTCCATCTTGCTGTGCAGCTCTCAGGCAGGCTGAGCAAATACAATGATGAGAAATGGGCAAAAGATAATACCAGAGGCTACCATGGTTCAACTGTCAGGCCTCTGAGCCCAAGCCAAGCCATCGCATCCCCTGTGACTTGCACGTATAGGCCCAGATGGCCTGAAGTAACCGAAGAATCACAAAAGAAGTGAAAAGGCCCTGCCCCACCTTAAATGATGACATTCCACCATTGTGATTTGTTCCTGCCCCACCTTAACTGAGTGATTACCCCTGTCAATTTCCTTCTTCTGGCTCAGAAGCTCCCCCACTGAGCACCTTGTGACCCCCTCCCCTGCCCACCAGAGAACAACCCCCTTTGACTATAATTTTCCATTACCTTCCCAAATCCTGTAAAACAGCCCCACCCCTATCTCCCTTCGCTGACTCTCTTTTCGGACTCAGCCCACCTGCACCCAGGTGAAACAAACAGCTTTATTGCTCACACAAAGCCTGTTTGGTGGTCTCTTCACATGGACGCACATGAAATTTGGTGCCGTGACTTGGATCGGGGGACCTCCCTTGGGAGATCAATCCCCTGTCGTCTTGTTCCTTGCTCCATGAAAAAGATCCACCTACGACCTCAGGTCCTCAGACCCGCCAGCCCAAGGAACATCTCACCAATTTTAAACCGGGTAAGCGGCCTCTTCTTACTCTCTTCTCCAACCTCTCTCACTGTCCCTCAACCACTTTCTCCTTTCCACTCTTCAATCTCTCCCTTCTCTTAATTTCAATTCCTTTCATTTTCTGGTAGAGACAAAGGAGACACGTTTTATCCGTGGACCCAAACTCCAGCGCCGGTCATGGACTAGGGAAGGCAGCCTTCCCTTGGTGTTTGATCCTTGCAGGGACACCGCTCTGATTATTCACCCACGTTTCAGAAGTGTCAGACCACGCAGGGACGCCTGCCTTGGTTAGCGGCAAGTCCCACTTTTCTAGGGAAGGGGCAAGTACCCCAACCCCTTCTCTCTGTGTCTCTACCCCTTCTCCACCTTTCTGGGGGGCAAGAAACCCCCAACCCCTTCTCCTTCACTCTTAGTGGCAAGTCCCGCTTTTCTGGAGGAGGGGCAAGTACCCCAACCTCATATCTCTGCGCCCCAATCCCTTATTTCTGCACCCCAACCTCTTATATCTCTGTGCCCCAATCCCTTATTTCCACACCCCGACATCTTATCTCTGTGCCCCAATCCCTTATTTCCATGCCCCGACCTCATCTCTGCACCCCGACTCCTTATTTCCACACCCTGACCTCATCTCTGCACCCCGACCCCTTATTTCCACAACCTGACTTATCTCTGCTCCCCATCCCTTATTTCCACCCCCTGACCTCTTATCTCTGTGCCCCAGCCCCTTATATCCGTGCCTCAACCCCTTTCCCACTTTTCTGGAATGTAAGAACCCCGGAACCCCTTCCCTCCGTGTCTCTACTCTCTCTTTTCTCTAGGCTTGCTTCCTTCACTATGGGCAACCTTCCACCCTCCATTCCTCCTTCTCCCTTGGCCTGTGTTGTCAAAAACTTAAAATCTCTTCAACTCACACCTGACCTAAAACCTAAATGCCTTATTTTCTTCTGCAATGCCGCTTGACCCCAGTACAAACTCGATAGTAGTTCCAAATAGCCAGAAAATGACACTTTAAATTTTTCCATCCTGCAAGATCTAAGTAATTGTCGTAAAATGGGCAAACGGTCTGAGGTGCCTGACGTCCAGGCATTCTTTTACACATCAGTCCCTCCCTAGTCTCTGTGCCCAGTGCAACTCGTCCCAAATCTTCCTTCTTTCCCTCCCACCTGTCCCCACAGTACCAACTCGAAGTGTTGCTGAGTCTTTCTAATCTTCCTTTTCTACAGACCCATCTGACCTCTCCCCTCCTCCCCAGGCTGCTCCTCGCCAGGCCGAGCTAGGTCCCAATTCTTCCTCAGCCTCCGCTCCCCCACCCTATAATCTTTTTATCACCTCCCCGCCTCACACCTGGTCCGGCTTACAGTTTCGTTCCGTGACTAGCCCTCCCCCACCTGCCCAGCAATTGACTCTTAAAAAGGTGGCTGGAGCTAAAGGCATAGTCAAGGTTAATGCTCCTTCTTCTTTATCCCAAATCGGATAGCGTTTAGGATCTTTTTTATCAAATATAAAAATCCAGCCCAGTTCATCACTTGTTTGGCAGCAACCCTGAGACACTTTACAGCCCTAGACCCTAAAAGGTCAAAAGGCCGTCTTATTCTCAAAATACTTTTTATTACCCAATCTGCTCCCGACATTAAATAAAACTACAAAAGTTAAATTCCGGCCCTCAAACCCCACAACAGGATTTAATTAACCTCGCCTTCAAGGTGTACAATAATAGAAAAAAAGTTGCAATTCCTTGCCTCCACTGTGAGACAAACCCCAGCCACATCTCCAGCACACAAGAACTTCCAAACGCCTGAACCGCAGCGGCCAGGCGTTCCTCCAGAACCTCCTCCCACAGGAGCTTGCTACAAGTGCCAGAAATCTGACCACCAGGCCAAGGAATGCCTGCAGCCCAGGATTCCTCCTAAGCCATGTCCCATCTGTGCGGGACCCCACGGGAAATCGGACTGTTCGACTCACCTGGCAGCAACTCCCAGAGCCCCTGGAACTCTGGCCCGAGGCTCTCTGACGGACTGCTTCTCGGCTTAGCAGCTGAAGACTGACACTGCCCAATCACCTCAGAAGCTCCGTAGACCATCACGGACGCCCAGCTTCGGGTAACTCTCACAGTGGAAGTTAAGTCCGTCCTCTTAGTCAATACGGAGGCTACCCACTCCACATTACTTTCTTTTCAAGGGCCTGTTTCCCTTGCCTCCATAACTGTTGTGGGTATTGATGGCCAGGCTTCTAAACCCCTGAAAACTCCCCCACTCTGGTGCCAACTTGGACAACACTCTTTTATGCACTCTTTTTTAGTTATCCCCACCTGCCCAGTTCCCTTATTAGGCCGAGATATTTTAACGAAATTATCTGCTTCCCTGACTATTCCTGGACTACAGCTGCATCTCATTGCTGCCCTTCTCCCCAACCCAAAGCCTCCTTCGCGTCTTCCTCTTGTATCCCCCAACCTTAACTCACAAGTATGGGACATCTCTACTCCTACCCTGGCAACTGATCACATGCCCGTTACCATCCCATTAAGACCTAATCACCCTTACCCCGCTCAATGCCAATATCCCATCCCACAGCACGCTTTAAAAGGATTAAAGCCTGTTATCACTCACCTGCTACAGCATGGGCTTCTAAAACCTATAAACTCTCCTTACAATTCCCCCATTTTACCTGTCCAAAAACCGGACAAGTCTTACAGATTAGTTCAGGATCTGCGCCTTATCAACCAATTTGTTTTGCCTATCCATCCTGTGGTGCCCAACCCGTACACTCTTTTGTCCTCAAAATACCTTCCGCCACAACTCACTATTCCATTCTCCATCTTAAAGATGCTTTTTTCACTATTCCACTGCACCCCTCATTCCAGCGTCTCTTTGCTTTCACTTAGACTGACCCTGACACCCATTAGGCTCAGCAAATTACCTGGGCAGTACTGCCGCAAGGCTTCACAGACAGCCCCCATTACTTCGGTCAAGCCCAAATTTCATCCTCATCTGTTACCTATCTCGGCATAATTCTCATAAAAACACACGTGCTTTCCCTGCGATCGTGTGTGATTAATCTCCCAAACCTCAATCCCTTACAAAACAACAACTCCTTTCCTTCCTAGCCATGGTTAGTGAGGTCAGAATTCTTACACAAGAGCCAGGACCACACCCTGTAGCCTTTCTGTCCAAATAACTTGACCTTACTGTTTTAGCCTAGCCCTCATGTCTGCGTGCAGCGGCTGCTGCGGCTTTAATACTTTAATAGGCCCTCAAAATCACAAACTATGCTCAATCACTCTCTACAGCGCTCATAATTTGCAAAATCTATTTTCTTACTCACACCTGACGCATATACTTTCTGCTCCCCGGCTCCTTCAGCTGTACTCACTCTTTGTTAAGTCTCCACAATTACCATTGTTCCTGGCCGGGACTTCAATCCGGCCTCCCATATTATTCCGGATACCACACCTGACCTCCATGACTGCATCTCTCTGATCCACCTGACGTTCACCCCATTTCCCCACATTTCCTTCTTCCCTGTTTCTCACCCTGATCACACTTAGTTTATTGATGGCAGTTCCACCAGGCCTAATCGCCACACACCAGCAAAGGCAGGCTATGCTATAGTACAAGCCACTAGCCCGCCTCTCAGAACCTCTCATTTCCTTTCCATCATGGAAATCTATCCTCAAGGAGATCACTTCTCAGTGTTCCATCTGCTATTCTACTACCCCTCAGGGATTATTCAGGCCCCCTCCCTTCCCTACACATCAAGCTTGAAGATTTGCCCCCGCCCAGGACTGGCAAATTAGCTTTACTCAACATGCCCTGAGTTGCAAAAACTAAAATACCTCTTAGTCTAAGTAGACACTTTCACTAGATAGGTAGAGGCCTTTCCTACAGGGTCTGAGAAGGCCACCGCAGTCATTTCTTCCCTTCTGTCAGACATGATTCCTCAGTTTAGCCTTCCCACCTCTATACAGTCTGATAACAGACCAGGCTTTATTAGTCAAATCAGCCAAGCATTTTTTCAGGCTCTTAGTATTCAGTGACAGACTAATGGTCTATTAAAAACACACCTCGCCAAGCTCAGCCACCAACTTAAAAAGCACTGGACAATACTTTCACCACTTTCCCTTCTCAGAAGTCAGACATGTCCTCAGAATGCTACAAGGTACAGCCCATTTAAGCTCCTGTATAGACACTCCTTTTTTTTAGGCCCCAGTCTCATTCCAGACACCAGACTAACTTAGACTGTGCCCCCAAATAACTTGTCATCCCTACTATCTTCTGTCTAGTCATACTCCTATTCACCGTTCTCAACTACTCATACATGCCCTGCTCTGGTTTACACTGCCGGTTTACACTGTTTCTCCAAGCCATCACAGCTGATATCTCCTCGTGCTATCCCCAAACTGCCACTCTTAACTCTTGAAGTAAATAAATAATCTTTGCTGGCAGGACTATGCTGAACCTCCGTAGGCACTCTCTAATTAGATGTCCTAGGTCCTCCCAATTCTTAGTCCTTTTATACCTGTTTTTCTCCTTCTCTTATTCCATTTAGTTTTTCAATTCATACGAAACCGTATCCAGGCCATCACCAATCATTCTATACGACAAATGTTTCTTCTAACAACCCCACAGTATCACCCCTTACCACAAGACCTCCCTCCAGCTTAATCTCTCCCACTCTAGGTTCCCACACCGCCCCTAATCCCACTTGAAGCAGCTCTGAGAAACATCGCCCATTCTCTCTCCATACCACACCCCAAAAATTTTCGCCTCCCCAACACTTCAACACTATTTTGTTTTATTTTTCTTATTAATATAAGGAGGCAGGAATGTCAGGCCTCTGAGCCCAAGCCAAGCCATCGCATCCCCTGTGACTTGCACGTATAGGCCCAGATGGCCTGAAGTACCTGAAGAATCACAAAAGAAGTGAAAAGGCCCTGCCCTGCCTTAACTGATGACATTCCACCATTGCGATTTGTTCCTGCCCCGCCTTAACTGAGTGATTAATCCTGTCAATTTACTTCTCCTGGCTCAGAAGCTCCCCCACTGAGCACCTTGTGACCACCCCCCGGCCCCTGCCCACCAGAGAACAACCCCCTTTGACTGTAATTTTCCATTACCTTCCCAAATCCTGTAAAACGGCCCCACCCCATCTCCCTTCGCTGACTCTCTTTTTGGACTCAGCCCACCTGCACCCAGGTGAAATAAACAGCTTTATTGCTCACACAAAGCCTGTTTGGTGGTCTCTTCACACGGACGCACATGAAATCAACCATTTTCTAAGTTGTTTCCATTTGAAATCACTGAAATTTTGGAGACGTAATCAGCCCTTGTTGCTAGTTGTTATTTCTGTGTGGTTCATTGTGGTCCAGGCTCTCCAAGGGCACATCTGGTCACACTAATGGCTCTTCCAGGCAGGGCACTGCCCCATCTGCCAGGGCCTGTGGAGACAGGGGCAGGGCAGTTCTTGCCCCCAAGAGGCTCCGGGCCCATCAGCACAACCTTCTGTGGTCCTGGCTGTTTGCCTATGCAGAGAAGGGCACTGGAGCAGGGGCAGAGTGCTGTGGGTCAGCCCAAGGCATGGATTTAATGAAAGGTCTGCTGGAAGCCACATCAAACAGCAGCACGAGTCCACAAATCCGCTCAGCAAGGTAACTTGAAGGGCATCTGTCACATTTCTCTCCCGTGATGGCTAGCCCTTGATATACCCAGAAAGAACTCTTTGCAGCACTTTAAAATACTGACTGTACACCTCTCATATTGCCCACAAACAACTCTGAAACCATAATACAAGGCTTATCTCTGCTCTTGGGTGTCCACATAGCAGGTATCCATGCCCATTGAATGCACTTAGGAATGAATAGGGAGAATGCCTTTTGAAGTTGTGGTTGGGCAGAGACTATAACAGTTCATGTGTCACACCTGCACCTTAAGTCAAGCTCACAGCCAACTGGTAAACTTTCCTCCAGCTACGTTTCAGAATCACTCTATGGCCTGAACAGCTCAGGACATAAGGAATTTAAACATGCGATTTACATATACTTGCAGGTTTCCAAATATACGAGTTTGTGTCACATATCGTGAATAAATTGAAAGCCATTAGGTACTTTAAAAAATATAGTAGATTAATGTTCCCCCTCTCTGCCCAACTCCATAATTGTTTCTTTAAGCCTCTTTTAAACTGAAACATACATTCAAATAGTAATTTTTTTAGGTCATTGAGTAAAGCACATTTTATGCTTCCGCAGATCCACTTTGCCACCAAGGGAAGGAAACAACAAAACAGATTCAAGAACAATTTATAAGGAATTCTTAAAATTTAAAATGCAGTCACTTAGATAGAACCATTACCCCTGGTATCTTGGATGAGTAAGATATTAAACCAGTATCGAGATGAACAAGAGAATGAAGCAATCAGATTTTCAGGTTTAAACAGCTCTTCCTCACAGTATTGTTCCCAAGGAGAAGTGACGCTAAGCTAAGCCAATGACTCATCAGTCTCATATCAGAGACCCCAAGTCTCAAAGAAGATTCTTTCAGTGTACCCAGGATCTCCATCTTATGTGTTTACTAAAATTTATTTTCAGATTATCTGATTAATTTACATTCTTATTTAATGTTTCCAGTTTGCATTTACATGATTCATTTATTCTTAAAGTGACTGTTAATGAAGTATCCATAATGTGCAGGTTACTGAACTAGAGGCAGTGAGAGATGCAAAAAATAATCACTTGAATCAAAAGCAGAAATGTGCCTTATCACACAAATAGATAACCCACCACATATATATGCCCACTGAAGAAAAAAATTATTCAGTGATACTAGCACAGTCAGAATGACTTTATTTTGCACCATCACTATAGGTGCAGAGACCACTGCAATGGGATTTTGCCGTAGAGAGGAGAGATTGGGCTCAACTCCAAATACAGCATGGGCATCTGGGAATTTATAGCCAAGGAGCAGGGTGGGTGTTGGAGGATGGAAAGTTACTGTGAGGAAATATTAGGGTAATGGAGATTCATGCTAAAGACAGGCCAGGGTAATTAGACATCACCTGAGTGGTGGTGGAAGATAAGGGCCCCATCAGATATTGAGGGTGACTTGTTATTGAAGGTGGGAGGTTCTTTCTAAACTGACTTAGAAGGAGTCTTGGTAAAACTGGGTTTTACAAGGAGATACACAAATGAGCCTAAGAGAAGGCTCAAGGGTCTGACTAAAGTTTGGCCAAGCAAAGAATCTTTGTCAACCTCCAGGCCAGGTCCTTTTGTCTGTGGTCAGCCTGCTGCTCCCACCTCTCCATCTCCCATGGTTCTGTGATACTCTTTCTTATCTTCTTCTTCTCCTTTTTCTCCTCATAGTACTCACTTTCCCTGATATTTTTCTCCTCTCTTGACAAGTTATTTAACCCACTTGTTTTAGGAAACAAGATGTATTTAGTAGATAAAGGATATACCAAGGCCTGGTATTTGGTATTAGCTCAATATATATATAGGATGGATGGATGGATGGATGGATGGATGGATGGATGGATGGAGAGAAATAGGGACCCTATTCTGATTGAGCTCATGGCCTAAATAACACAACAAGTAATATGAATGCATATGTTTAATAAATCTAAAAAGTGACACATCATAAAGAATTAAGTGCAAAACACAAATCTGTAAGGTAGAATCAAATATACTATAGTTCCACCTGTAGTTATTGCAGGCAACACTAATTTTAGGACCTGAACCACACTGGCATCATCCAGCAAGTTGACATTATGAAGATATGGGAGTCTCACTTGATAAAGTGCAGGAGAGAAATTAAATACCGAAGTTCTAGAGTTAGAATGCCTGGATTCACACATTGCCTTTATCATTTGCTGGCTGTTGGAACTTGGAAAAGTATTAACTACAGTTTTCTGTTCCTCAGTTTCCAAAATTGTAAATAATGGCACCAACTTCACAAAGACATGATAAGGATGAAGTAGCATGATCCATGCACAGCATTTACATGTTGTGAGAAGTTACTTATTGAGAAGTTATTGACATTAGTAAAAATTATTACTGCAAAATAATGTACATGCGTAATCTCTCTCACCCAGATAAGCCAAGAAGAGACGTTGTGCCTGTGTCAAGGGTGCACATCAGTATCGCTTGAATCCCTACAGTTATGCTTCCCTCAGCAAATGTTTCCAGGGTGAAGACTGGTTAATGAACACTTGATTTCACACAGCTACACAATAAACCTCACTCAGGTCCAGTGAACCAGCCGGGAACACATGGGTCTTGAGGAAAGTGTCCTTTGCACAGAAGGAGAGAATTTGAAGAACACATACACAGTGGGAAATGCAAAAAATGCAGAAAACCCCCCAGAGATTCTGTGTGGATATGAAACAGTTATGGTGAGCAGTTACTGAATTGTTTTTAGTCACCCACATAAGAAGCTATGGCAAAGTTTAAAATGGAAAAGTTAAAATGTAAAATGTATGTATCAACTCCTGTGCTAAGGTCTCATACCCTAGAGGGAAACCTCATCTCTCTTTTGAGAAGAGGAAATTAATATATGTTTATTGAGTACTGTGATAATGTAAATTACAATCATGCCTCTCAACCAAAAGAATATCGATTCTAAGTGGTGATGGTGAATAAATCTCTGTAGAGGGCTGTCATTTTCAACTCAGTGGCTCTCCTTGAAGCTTTTTAAAAGCTTTACATTAAACTAAGCCAAAGGCAGATTCAAAAAATGATTTTAAAGAATTTATTTCAAAATGGATGAAATAACAATAGGTGAAGTAATAATAATTTCATAAATCTGTCTTGGAAGAAAACCAGCTAACTTACCACTTTTCAAATGGGAAAAGAATGAAAATTCTCCAGCACATACATAGCATTTTATGCTTCTAAAAATTAAAAATGGATGAAGTAGCTTTTTTTCTTCATAAAAGTAGGGAGAAAAGGTAATTTTTAGATTGGGATCAAGGCTTCCAGGTTTGAATCTAGAAAAAAATTTAAATCCCCAAAGCAATTGAGAATGATTTTTAAATATTTTAAACCTGCCTGCTTTTAACAAAAGGAACCCACTCAAACGACAAAAGGGGGAAAAAAGAATCTAATCAGATCTTGTTCCTGTCTCCAAAGTGGTGATTTTTCAAGCACTCGAGAAGAGTTAAATAAGGGCTATTACAGAGTTTCACACTGGATGATCAACAATGTAAATGCAGAAAGAATCTCATAATTACTGAAGGAAACTTCCAGCTGTGGGCAATTAAAGATTTAACATATTAACAATGAGAACCTTCCAAACATGGGGAAAAAAGAGGCAATTCACAGAACTTACGGTTTCCGCTAAAACAATGGTATAATCAAACATCTGACCCAGAGAAGTCAAGAAATAGTTGTGCTGAATGATCAGATGCACTTGACTCCGGATCAAATGCAGCATAAACTCAAACATCATCCCTAGTACCAGAATGGAGTTATTTGCATTTTCATATCCATAGAACATTTAGAAATGTTGACAGCTTATATCATGTCCAAAAGTGGTGGTGGGAAAATGTTCCACTCTTTTCCCTTCAATTCACATATGGGTGAGAAAATGGAATTCCTTAGGTCTCTAGATATTCATGACTCTAGTGCCTCAGGCTAACGTTTTCATTTCCCTTTTTTTTCTTTACAGTAACACTTTCCATTTAAGGGAAGCGCTTTTTATGGGCTATTTTATAATTTTTTTTTATCCAGTTCTTCATGAATACTGGTAAAATAAAAAGCTATAGTAATTTTAAACATTTCCAGGTTTGACCTGTTGGTCCACATAAAAGTCTAAAACTCATAATTTGGGAACAGTTATTTTGAATGAATAACTGAGTAGCTTTCAATGCACAATTTCTCTGTAATATACAAGTGTAGTGGAGTCCAAAATTCACTCACTCACACCACAATTTATATAGATCTCTTAATTTGTCGATAAATAATCTGATTTTCTCACAGAGCCCCTGCTGAGTAGTTAATGGGATAATTTAGTTGAGTAGCTATTCAACTTAAAATATAGTTTGGCCCAATCATTTAAAAACCTTTTAAAATAATATTGCTCAGCCCATTTTGAAATGCTCTATCTTTGAACCTCTCATCAGCAATACTTGGCATGTCTGAGATATGGGGAATGAATAAAAGATGTGACTTCTAAAATATGATTATAAAGAGAAGAGAAGACTTACTCAGTCAGGGTCCTTAGTTCCTCCCATCTTTTGGACAACACTAGCTAGTTGTACTGCTTCCTTCTCTTGTTTGGTGAGGGCCTGGCAGCAGTTACTGGCACACAGTGTCTAACCTAGGCCCTCATATATACAGAGACTCACAAAATCTCCACTGACTCTCCCAAGTGAGTGTTCCACTCTCTGCCTTGGCTATAGGATCACAATGCTTTAACCAATTCAGTCTCCATGACAAACTTCTTGCTTCCAACTCAGCTACATTCCTGGACATGTTCACGGGGAATAAGGACTCACGTGTCCTTGCTATGCCACACAGGAACTGAAAAAGGGCCATGAGACTGCCTCACTTACCTATCATGATTCACCTCGCTTACCTGTCATGAGGTATTCTGGACTCTCCTTCCCATAATCCCCTGAGAGTAGAAGAAAACATTCTCTGCCTCATAACCTGCTTCTCCTGGACTTCAACTCCACGCTTGTCTTAATGACACTGATAGTTAGGGGCATTTTCTCTTCACAATGGGACATCTCTATAATCAGAATGACCCAGTTCAGAACATGCTACCTCAAAATATGGTACCTTGGCATTTGAGAAAACAGCAGAAGCAGGAGATCTTTCTGACCTTCTCTCAACATTCTTCCCTGTAGCAGGCCATAAAAGAATTCTCTAACCTTCCTCGAAAGTAGATAAGACCCTCATTCCAGAGTGGTCCTTCCCCTACCCAGAAGAAAAGAATGAAGACACAGAGACACAAGTAAGAATCTAAACAAAGAGGCCTTGTTGAGTTTCCCCTCAACCCAGTTTATTACCATTAGATCATACCCCCTTTTATCCTATCATGCTTCTGTACAACTGTCCACTCTTTATCAAACCTAAGCATAAAAATACAGTTTTTCCTGTTTCTTTGAGTCTTAATTTCTGAAGACTCCCACGTCACCTAAAACTTATATTAAATAAATGTGTAGGCAGGGTGCAGTGGCTCAGGACTGTAATCCCAGCACTTTGGGAGGCTGAGGCGGGCAGATCACCTGAGGTCAGGAGTTTGAGACCAGCCTGACCAAAATGGTGAAACCCTGTCTCTACTAAAAATACAAAAAATTAGCTGGGCCTGGTGGCGGGCACCTGTAATCCCAGCTACTCGGGAGGCTGAGGCAGGAGAATTGCTTGAACCTGGGAAGCAGAGGTTGCAGTGAGCCAAAATCGCGCCATTGCACTCCAGCCCGGGCAAAAAGAGAGAAACTCCGTCTCAAAAACTAACAAATAAATAAAATAAAATAAAATAAAATAAAATAAAATAAAATAAAATAAAATAAAATAAATGTGTATGCTTTCCTCTTGTTAATCTATTCTTTAACAAGATATAGGGGGCTCAGCCCTGAGTCTAGCGAGGGTTGAGGAAAGAAATCTTTTCTCCAGTATAGAAGTCTCTCAGGCAAGCCCTTAATAAGTTACAGGAGAGCTCAAAATAATGTATCAAGTTATTTCTTCCTTCCATTTGCCCTTCCCCATCCCCATCCTAACTCTACCTTGTTTTCAAGCATATTGTCTTGCTCCAGAGATTAGGTAATCACTTTTCTCTGTCCTGGGGTGATAAGCTTCTGGGCTGTAAAAGTGATTCCTCTAACTTTTTCTCACACTTCAATGCAGTAGATCTTTTAGCTGGAGGTCAGCATGTGACTTTGAATCAGAAGATTCAGAGTCCAGACTTCTGGGTTCTAATTTAGGCCATTATTTTATTCTCTACTTTTTGAATACTTTCTAATGATATCTTCCTGGGTAAGTCACTTAACCTTTTCTGATTCTTCGTTTCTCTCTGTAAAAGAGAAGGTGTAATACATGTTCTTTCTGCATCTTAGTGTCCTTGTAAGAACGATATGATTTCCTGGGGTTGAAATGTTTTGTAGATAACTGTTAAATCAAGTTTAGCCTAAAGCTGCCTCTTCATACATTTTAAATTCAGCCTAAAAGATTCTTTGTATGTAGCAAACTGTAACCTAAATGGAGGTGTATAGAGGCTGTATGTAACCTACTCTTGGACCAGTCACCGAATTTGGCCAATCAAAGGGAATCAAATGTTCAAACTGTGTTCAAATAAGGCAGATGTCAAGCTGTAACCAATCCAGCTGTTTCTGCACCTCACTTCAGTTTTCTGTACATCATTTTCCTTTTTCTGTCCATAAATCTTCCACCATGTGGCTGCACTGGAGTCTCTCTGATTCTATTCTGGCTCAGGAGGCTGCCCAATTCATGAATCATTCCTTACTTAATTTAACTCTATTACATTTAATTTGAGTAAAGGTATTCTTTTAACATAACAAATACAGGAAATAGAAGCTTCTTCCTTCTCAAAAGGCAAAATCAGCAGATTCCACACTAGGCACATGTAATGCCAATTATTTGACACAGCACTTAATACCTCATTCTATTGGCAGTTTTGCCTGCAGAATCTGTCTGCTTAAAAAGACCTAGAGTCACATGATCATAGATTATTAACTATCACTTTATTATAAAATTGAATTGCTAGAATTTATTGAAATATGTTTCCTGTACCTTTTTTTTTTTTTTTTTTTTTTTTGAGATGTAGTCTAGCTTTGTCACCCAGGATGGAGTGCAGTGGTGAGATCTTGGCTCACTGCAAGCTCTGCCTCCCGGGTTCACGCCATTCTCCGGCCTCAGCCTCCTGAGTAGCTGGGACTACAGGCACCTGCCACCAGGCCCAGCTAATTTTTTTTGTATTTTTAGTAGAGACGGGTTTTCACCATGCTAGCCAGGATGGTCTCCATCTCTTGACCTTGTGATCCACCCACCTCGGCCTCCCAAAGTGCTGGGATTACAGGCATGAGCCACTGTGCCCGACGGTTTCCTGTACTTTCAAATCACCATTGAATGAGAACTGAAAATCGCTTATCATCTTTACATTTCTTTGGTTCACTGCTAAGAAACAGGCTTCAAATCAGGGCCTTGTCTCTGACGACTCTGCCAAGTCATGGGGTCATTAAGTCGTGTGGGGCATAAAGAAAGATCATAGATGGGCTGATGTTTTAGGAGACCTATGCTTTACACAGTGGAGGCAGTAGTCACAGTTCTGATCCAGAAGACTCTTCACCTAAAAAGAAGATCAAAACTGAGACTCACCACTCTAGTCTGTTCTAAATTGTTATGCACAAAGGAATGCACATGATTCAATTCTGTATTATTCCTTCTAGTTAAGATTCAAATCACTGAATAGTACTGAACAGAACACAGAATTGGGAAAAAAAACTTTCCAATTTTTAATGAAAAAAAGCCTTTAGTCTTTTATAAGTTTTTCCATGTAAAAAATCATTGTATGACAAGCAACTGAAATACATAATTTACCAGAAAAAATATTACCTACTAGCTTTAAAAAATATCAAGATGATGAACACACATACCATATATTTGTTGGTTTTAGAGGCAAAAGAGAAAAGAAAATCATTGAATATTTAATTATCTGAGACAATACCTTATTTTCTATCTAAAAAAACATGAGCTTTAGGGAGGAATAGTTACTTAAGGTACTATAGTTATCTTCTCTTATCAGTAGCCATACTTTCTAGTCATCAGTGCCTATATTCTAAAATGTATTTAATGATCTAAAAAAAGAAAAATCATAATTACATCTCTTTAAGGCCCACAAAGAGATATAACTACTTAATTCCATCTATGAAATATCTGGGATAACAATTCATTTCAGTTTATAGAATGAAAAATACTTTTAACTTACATTTTAAATGCATAGAACCAAGAACGAGAATGAAAGGCTATTCATTCCTTTTCTTCATATAGTAATGCTCATCTCTGCATAAGTTTCCTTTATAAATTTGATTGCCCTGTGATTTTTCCATAGTTTGAAAAAAAAATTGTAAAAAGAGAATAATTTATTACTTTTTCCCTGAATGATAAGAAAAAAAACAACAGAATTATCCTGCTTAAGCCTCTTCAGGTGGTTCTAATAATCAGGCAAATTTTAAAACCCCTTGTAGGGGAAGAAAGGTATGACACCTTTCCTCACTCATCATCAGGGCTATGGCCTACACTCCATAAAAAAGATAGGCTAATAAGAGAAAGACACAACAAATTTACTTAATCAAGTTTTATGTCACATGGGAGCCTTTAGAAATGAAGACCCAAAGACCCTGGAAAAGCAGTCTATTTTTATGCTGAGGTTCAATGAAGAATGGACAGTCATGTAGACACGTTAAGGGAGGAGACCATCCCTCATATTGTCTTATGCCCAATTTCTGCCTCCAAAGAAAGAAAAAGTAAAAACTAAAAGGCAGAAATGAAATCCACAAGCAGACAGCCCGGCGCCACACCCTGGGCCCGGTAGGTAAAGATCGACCCCTGACCTAATCGGTTATGTTATCTATAGATTAGACATTGTATAGACCAGCACTGTGAAAATCCCTATCCTGTTTTGTTCCTATCTAATTACCGGTGCATGCAGCCCCAAGTCATGTACCCCCTGCTTGCTCAATCGATCACGACCCTCTCACGTGCACCCCCTTAGTGTTGTGAGCTCTTAAAAGGGACAGGAATTGCTTACTCGGGGGGGGGGGCTTGGCTCTTGAGACAGGAGTCTTGCCAATGCCCCGGCCAAATAAACCCCTTCCTTCTTTAACTCGGTGTCTGAGGAGTTTTGTCTGCCGCTCGTCCTGCTACAACGTGATTGGACAAAAGGGTCTGATCCAATGGTAATGGAGTAAGCTCTGAAACCCAGCAAACCCTATCAGTTCATATTCTTCTTGGCCTCTCTGTGTAGCATTCCTTCCTCCTGGGTATAAGGCAGGAACCCTCTGGAAAGCGGGGGTCTTTTGACCTACTTTCAGGCAAGGTGGGTCAAAGAACTTTAGGGCTAGCTTTCAACAGAAAGGTGGGAAAGGTCAACATGACCTTCTTGTTTCTGAAGCCCTCTCAATCTCCTTCAATTCAAAGTACTTTGAGGCAGCATTTTCCCAGTCCTAACACCTCCTCTTAGCTGGCTATTCCTTGTTGTATCCAAATCTCTCTCTGCTTCCTACATCTTCTTTCCATTGCCAAATCCCCATTCCACGGGCAACATTTCCTTTCTATATCCTACCTCTCTCTCCTATAGCTACATCTCCTTTCCAGAACCTATTTCCCTTTCCTGGAGCCTATTCTCTTAGGAGCCTAAATTTAATAAGGTGTCAAGTAATCTACCTTTCACTCTCCTATGTTAGTCTGTGAAGGTAATTGCAAGTGTCCTTGAGTATTTGTGTCTTAATGGAAGACTCTGGGAGAATAAAAAGGCTTTTAGAAGCAAAGTAATGAATCCTTGGTAGAAGTTAGATACCTCAGTCAGTTAATTTTGGCCTTTACTTATAATATACTGCTTATGAGACTCTATATTTTCATTCTGAAAGTAAGGGAAATAAAACAACACCACCAAAAACCTAAAGATTTAAACTTTATAAATTAATATTCTTTCCCCCGAGATAATCCCCACTCAAGAGACAAACATCTGGAAAAACAGAATTTTTAGTTTAATTCACAATGGAATTCAAACTATTTTTTTAGTCCTTTTTTATTGAGAGGGCCAGATGCAATGCATCACAAATTGTTTGCCTAATTCAAACCATAAAGAAAATTATCTCTCTTCCATATGACATCAAATTTAGAAAAGGGAGGTTGGGTGTGGAGCAATAGTAACAATTCCTACTTTTAAAAGTTTGAAGGATGTATATATACTCAGCAGTTCTTCAGATGTCATGCAAACATTCTGAAGTATTTCCCTTTAAGATAAGCTTTTGCTTTCTTATTTTTCTAAAATAAGTTATTACATACATCTCAGAGTTTACTCAGAAGAAGTCTGCATTGTATATGTGGCATAAAATGTGTCCTCTAAAATGAAAAGTTGATTTCATAAATTTGATTAGTAGAACACTCTGGAAAAATGAGAAAGTTTTTGTGATTCTAACATGACAATATCATCTGTAGCTCAAATAGATTTTTCTACAGTGAGTTGTATTATATATTGCCAAAGATGCATTTCATTTTTTTGGATATTCTTTACATCTTGGGTACAAGTGATTTAAATACATGGAACAAGGTAGCATTTGACAAACTCATACCCTGGATCTATAGAGGTTTTTCTAAATATCGGTAAATAAAAGAATCAGATAATGGGTTCCCCTTTACCAGATCTATTAATCTTTTCTTGCCAGACTAGCAAAGGAAGAGACTTATTTAATAAAAACAATAACAAGATATTGACATTAATATTTTACATGTTTGAACACATTTGGCTGTATCCAGCATTGTGCTGGTTTTTGTAAGGGTAAAAGTTAGTTTATAAAACCAAGCTCCATCACTCTCTTAATGAGGATGATATAAAATAAGAAGGTAAACATGATGTAATTCTAAATAATTTGGTATATGTAATTGAAATACATATTAATTTAATTTATCCATATTAATGGGTGGATAAGACATAACAGAATATTTCATGAAATATGTGAGATCTGAGCATGATTTGTTGAATGGCCAATAAGTAGACCAATTTGGGGGCCCTAATTTGACATAGCCCAATTATTCTAAGACTACGATCTATTACCTTAAGGGTCGTAATTAGAAGCTGAACAAGAGCTTTTCTGAAAACTACTGCTTCAATTATTCAAGGTGAGATGGCACTCAAAAAAACTACCCCTAGTAAAAGCATAATTGTGGTTAAAAAATAATAATAAGAGTTGATGATCCTGGCAAAAATCAATTTTGAAAAGTTTATCCAGAGATTATAGTTATTGTACATAGTAAGATTCATGTAAAAAAGGCTTTGTCTAGCATTATCCAAGTTGTGTTTAACCCTCTGAGGACCTGCAGCCAGATATCTAGATGAAGTTGATTCCAGAGGCTAAGTGCACACACTGAGAAGCCCTGCCTCAGGACCCTGACTGGGATTCCTTTGCAAGCTCTCTTCACCTTAAGGCTTATACTGTGCTATCCAGGATCTGAGAAACTACTCCCAGCTTCATTGTTTTCAGAATGTCTCCCCATCTATCTCGCCAATGTGGCAGCCACAACTTGAGAAGCAAAGAACTGCCTAACTCAGGGTGAAAAGTATTGCCCTGTCCCTTTCCGTGTCCATGCCTAACACTTAAACATATCAGGTCCTAATACCCCATTTCAGGGACTTGTAAAGGATATTGTGCCACTCCTCCTTCTCTGGGGCAGCCATGGCAGATACTGCTAATCAATCACATCATTCTTTTCAATGAGCCCAGGCATAGCTAGGTTTGCAAATCCCAACCCAAGGGCCTTTTTTTCACAGTTGACATGGAGCCTGTCTGGCATTTCTGGCCTAAGTACCACTCAGGGATGATAGGACCAGGAGAGAGACCCGGCACATTCAGACTGAAATCCAGGATTTTTGAGGGCTACATTTACCAAGGATTAAACTGTATGTGCTGTTAGGGAAAACAGTCACTGTGGACAAAAATTATAGATTTTTTAAGAATAACAAGGTAAGAAGAGAAAAATCCAGTACTGGAGTTGGGGCCATTATTTGCGAACTGCAGAGTATAGTAAAAACCAATTCAAAAAAAAAAAAAAAGCATAAAGAACTTACAGATTGATTTCACCATCAAAGTCCTAGAAGCATGCTTAGCTGTCACGGGGAGAAATGACTTGTCAAAGTTACCCAGATTGTCAGAAGCTGGGACTAGAATTTCTGATCCAGAACTCACTGACAATGGAACAAATAAGCTTGTTGCAGTGTCACCTCCACAGATGAAGTCGGCTTCTGTTTCAGCCTCCTTTTCCTTTAGAGAATCAATTTAATGGTTTCTTTCCAGAACATCATGGTTAACATGTAAACCTTCCACCTGGTAAGAAATGCTCTTTAATGAGTTTAAAGAGTTGGCTGCAAAAATTCAACTGTTTCTCTTTCAACTCTTTTAATTACAAGTAGCTAAATCTCCACATGCTGCCGACCATTGCTAAATGTGGCTTCTGTTCGCATTGATCCTTGGCATCTTGTCACTGTCAATGCCCTGAACAATATGCAGTCAAAGGAGGAGAAGTGCAGAGAACCCATTGCTGCAGGTGTAAATAAAATCAATCTGCTCATTTTGGCAAATGTCTTATTGATCAGAGCTGTTAAATACATGCTTTCATCTCCACCTTCAACAAGAATGTGGATACGTTTATGCTGGAACATTAAGTATCAAGCAGTATGTCTGCATTCTTGTCAGGATGGCTACAAGGACCAGTAATAATATGGCAGCATATACACTGAAGCTTAGATGTATTAAAGTGAGAAATCAATAGGAAAGGTGGAGACAAAAATGAGGATAACATGAGGCACTGATTAGTCAAAGGCTAAAATGCAGGCATTATAAATTGCAGCACCATTTCCACATGCAGCTTTCTCTGTCACCTCACACAGCACTGAAATAGAGTGAGAGAGTCAAGTTTAGGAAATCCCCTAAAGTCTCTGAACCTCAATTCCACTGCTTTAAATCTAGGCAGCACAATCCTTACCTCAGAGGATTGCCTGAGGATTAAATGACGTGATGTATGGAAAGTTGCTCATAGCACCAGGACTTAATGAACATTTGTTTCCCTTCTGCCCTTAAGTGTCTCTATCTGCAGGGCAGGGCTGGCATTCCCTCAAATGCAGATGATGCTGTGATCTAAGGTCTTCTATCAGTCAGGATATTTTCAATTTCAAGGGAGAGAAAACCCAGTGCAAACTGGCTTAAATAATAAATAAATGTATGGCTTCTCTAACCAAAAACTTCAGAACTACTGTTGGTTTCAGGCAAGGTTTAAACAAATGATGCCATTAGGAAGCTGCTCTTTCTGTCTCTCCTCTCTGCCTTCCTGTCTGCCAGTTACTTCTTTAGACTTCACAAGGGGTCACCCAGCAGGTCCAAACTTCCCCTCATTTGAAAATACAATGTGCACTTCTTCCGGGCACATGCCGCATCTCCCCACATTGTCTGAGGGAAGGGAGGATTCTCTTCTGCTAATCACAACCCAGGCCTAAGATTCATTACACAGCATGCATGGCCATCTCTGAACTAATCCCCATAATCAAGGAGATGAGAAATGTTGTCAAACCAAATGACCTGTGGGTCTGAAAAAAGTAGAATGGTGTATTAACCCAGGGCATCAGAGGACCATTACAAATAAAGGATACAAATAGATGGTGGAACCATCAATCATCAGAAATGACAGGCTCTAACCACTCACCTGCCTAAGAATAAATATTTGTTGTTGTAAGCCACTGATATTTGAGATAGTTTGTTGCACAGTATTACTGTGGTAATAGCTAACCAATACAGTAAACAACAGATGACTAGTACTGAGGAAACATCACAGTGGATAGATAGGAGTAATGGCCATGGAAAAGAGAAGATACCGTGAGAGTTGAAACAGACCTTAAAAGTAGAATCCTCAGAATTTTCTAATTAATTGAAAGTGCTGGCCGGGTGCAGTAGCTCACGCCTGTAATCCCAGCAAATTGGGAGGCCCAGGCGGGCAGATCACTTGAGGTCAGGAGATCGAGACCAGCCTGCTCAACATGGTGAAACCCTGTCTCTACTAAAAATACAAAAATTAGCCAGTCGCAGTAGTGGACACCTGTAATCCCAGCTACTCAAGAGGCTGAGGCAGGACAATCGCTTGAACCCAGGAGGCAGAAGCTGCAGTGAGCCAAGATTGCACCACTGCACTCCAGCCTGGGCAATAGAGTGAGACTCTGTCTCAAAAAAAAAAAAAAAAAAAAAAAAAAAAAAAAAAAAAGTGCTGTGAGGGAAATCTTTGGATTTGGGTGAGTTTCAGCATAGGCAATTTCTGTTTACAATGGTTTGTGCTTAGGATACTCTTTTCAACTGAACAAGCCTGAAAGCCATGAGTAAGAATCTTCATAGAATATCATGTCTTTTTGACAATGGATAGCCCAGCCTACCGTAGGTTATGAATTAGCCCACCCACCTTGGCACACAGAGGTAAAATTTATTTCTGCCCAGTAGGCTACCCACCTGCTTCCCCATTAGTGGATAAAATACTCACCAATGGACCTCTCAGCTGGCACAGAAAATGGAGGCAAGATTTTGAGTGTTGACTCCTCAGAAGTGACTATCCAAACTGGACTTATTCTGTTGTTTCCAGTATCCAAGATGAGTCCTGGTTGCTGGTGAGTTCTCCATGGGCCGCAAATCAACAGTCATGTAAATGTTTGACAGCCAGTAGCTGGAAGCCATTTAGTCCCATAACTAAGAGCCACTAGCCCATAACTTCAACAAAAGAAGATGCCAACTTACTATCACAATATATGTAACAAATAGATCTATGATGTCATGCTAAGCAGTGACTTTCACATATTTCCAATTAAGAGGAAAGAGAGAAGCAAAAGACAGAGAAATGAAGTCTGAGGCAATAACAGAATGTTGCAGGTGAAAAGAGCTTAATAAATACAGTAAAGGAGATTTAACATTTCTTACAATTATAATTAGATATTTTTGCACTAAGAAAGACCTGAGAGATTTTCTTAGAAAGGTCTAAATGTTAAAATGTCTTACATCTCAGGCCTCAGCACTCTCCTTTTCTCTATCTCCACTCCTTCTCCCTAGGTGATCTCATCCCCTCCATTTGCGTTAAATATCATCTGCATGTCAATGACTCCAAAATTTATATCACCCTGAACTTTCCACTGATTTATATATCAAATTGCCCACTTGACATCTCCAATTAGCTGTCTAAAAGGTAACTCGAACTTTATAAATCTTAAACAAAACTTTTTATTTCCATGACTGTAGCCTCTTTCTCCCTAAACCCCAGTGATTTCAGTAAAGTCACCCCATTTACCCAGTGTCTCAAATATAAAACTATGTTTCCTCTTTAATCCCTCATTCCACATATTTAGTCCATCAGGAAGTCCTGTTGAATCAATTTACACAATATACTTTATTTTTCCCCCTTTGCTTTGCATCTACACTGTCATCACCCTTGTGCAAATCAGGATCAGCTCTTACTGGACCCCCGGGAAACTCTCTTAACTGGTTTCTCTTTCCATCCTCCAATCAGCAACCAGAGGAAGCATTTTAATGACTATCAGAACTTATCATTTCCTCTTTGGAATAATCAAATTGTTTCTCATTTTTTTTTATTATGGAATTCAAACTTCAACATGATGTAAAGCCTGGAGTTGACATGGTCTTTGCATATCCCCCTCCTCACACTCCAGCCACATTGGCCTTTCTTCTATTCCTGGAACAAGCCAGCTTGTTCCTCCCTCTAGATCTTTTAGGAGCCAGCTTGAAAGTCACCTACTAAGTGATACCTTCCTGTCTGCCCTCATTGGACAGTGAAGTCCCCAGACTCACCAAAAATGCCATCGTGGCACCCTATTCATCACTTTTCAAAATTATCTTGTTTGCTTATTTATTTGCCTTTTTGGTCATTTCCTGCCAGAATATAAGCTCCAGGAGAGCTGCAACTTTGTTTTGGTTTATTTTCTCACTGTTGCATCTCCACTTAGTGGCACATGGTAGATGCTCAAATAATGTTTCTAAAATAAATCACCTATTTCTGCAATTTGAAAAATCCAGTTTGTGGAGTCCTGGGTTCTGCTGAGACACTTCAGTTGCAGCTGAAGGAAGAGGAGGAAGGCAGAAAAGTGAAACAGGGTTCTGGCCGAGTTTTGAGCCTTCCATTGATTCAACTGGAACATTTTTGCATTTGTTTATGCAATGGCTTCCACGTAAAGTTGTCTTTGTTTAAAAGTTTATGCTATGAAAAGTATGTGACAACCAGCAGTCCCTTGCCATCTCTTTATGTGACAAATGAGCTACTTGCCTGTGGCCTCAAAGTGTACTGGTAGCTCGCTGAGACCAAAATCCAGGTTCCCCTGACAAAGATTCACAGGCTTGTCATAATATCTAGTTTACTCCAAATATGCCAAGTCCAAAATCCAGCTGTTGTATTCACTTATTAAGTAATAAAGTCACACTGTCCTTACTGTGATAAGTAACACTCTTCAGTGTGCTGAATTTTCTCTCAAACCCACTGTAGAACTTTATTTTAAATGACAGAACTGCTGGTCTGAACTGAATCATAGCTAGATATTTACCCATGGGTTTTCCAAGCAAATAGTTAAGACCAAAGGAAGAAGCCAAATGAGATTTTCTTCACATGTAATGTCTTCCTCTACAAGTCAAGCTGTCAGGCAACAGAATATACCTTATAGCTGCAATGTAAAATAAATGTCAAACAGATTGTAAATTATGATAATCATTTTTATAAACCAATGTACAAGCATTAATTTGAGATTATTAACTGTAGCTTCATTCATAAAGGCATTTGTGAATATAATAAAATATATATACTCTTTTTATAGTTGGGAGTCTTGAAGGGGTTTATTTCAATAGGAAAAGAGTTAAACCATAACTTTCTTTTATATTTCCTAAAGTACATCAAATTAAGAAGAATACCACAAGCACATTCTGCACAAAGCAGATTTGAAACGATGTTTATGTCTGGAAAACTCAATTTATGGGGAGCCAAAACTCTTTCAGCTCTAAGAAAATATATGTAATGTGCAAATATGGAAAATTGTCTCCAATAGAACTGTTCATAAAGACTGTAATAAATAAGTAAACAAATAAACAGACTATGATGAGAGACAATATTCAAGGATAAAGGGAAAAAATTGTGGCATAGTGGAAGAAGCACCTCCTTGAGAGTTAGAAGTCCTACATTCTGGCACTGTATATAATCAACATGTGCTGGTACAGGCCATTTTGATGTCTATGTGTGTCAACTTTGCTATCTGTAATTTAACTACACATTGGACATATTCTGACAGCCTCCCTGTCATCCATTTCCCTTGTCTCCTTGTGATTGAGGAACCAACCAACGAACCAACCAACCCCATGATCTGTGTTGAGGTCTAGATATTACAGACCCTGCCTAAACTCCAGGGTTGGGCCCTTGCCAAGTTAGACCAATGAGCAGATTTCACCCCCTAGTCACAGCTATTGGTTTAAGAATGAGTACAGACCCCAGTTAGAACCAGTGGGCCATGAGAAGACATTTGCTAGAGTTCCTGGGATCTAAACTTCTCTTTTCTACAATGACTAGAAGTTCTCTTTTCCTCTAGATAACGTGGTATAAGGGTGTAAAATTGAAACAACTGCAGTCAATGTTGCTGCTGAAAAGCCAGACTGAAGACAACGATGAAGCCAGTCTACAGAATGGGACACAATCCAGAGGCTGATACAAAAAGGGACTGAAACCGTGAGAGTACCACCTCAACATCTGCATATAATTATGCCTGATATCAGTTGGAACTCTGCACTTTTCAGTTATTAAGCTAATAAAACTCCTTTGTTAATCAAGCTAATTTACATAGAGCTTTGTTGTGCTAAAAATATAAAGCACCCTAACATACACAGAACTGATTGTATCTAAGGCCATTTTTAGCAACATTTGTTGGTCTGTACACAAGGGTCAGTACCTCTCCTTCTTCCTTGCCCCAGCCTGGGTCTCAGTACTGCTGTGCACAGTCAGTAAAGGCTGACTCCCGATTCCCAGTCCTGGGCCAGAGGGGAAGAAAGGAGGGACCCGCGAGCCTAAACCAACCATTTAAATCCAGTGTTTCTTAACAATGGTTAACTTAAGAAGGGGGCATACATGAAGAGAATTCTGTTGGCAAGGAGATAAAGATTTCAGGGAATGGCTTCATAGATTCTTCAAAGAGACTCAAGGAAAGTCTTGTATAAGGCATCAAACTCCTAGAAAGATGTAGCCGTATTTGATCACGAGGCAAGTTGGCTGGCCAGTTAAGAATAGGAAGATTCTATAAAAGGAAAGTACATTTTCAGTGGATCCATGACCATGCCATTTAACTGCTGAGTTAGCAAACCCTGTAGCTACCCTACTCATGGACTTGTTGTTAATTAAGATACTAAATATCCTTATGTTTAAGCCATTTGAAACTGCAGGTTCTATTACTTGCAGCTGAAAGCATTCAAACTGATAGACCATGCTAGTTCTCAAGTATGTAAATAAAATCTCACAATAGTATATAGCACATTGCACTTTTAAAAATTGTTTTCAAATACATCACTTCATTACTCTCAAACAGGTTATATCACAATGAAGACCTTTCATTATTTTCTAGAGATAAGAAAAATACAGATTTGCAAGTTTTTCTGATATTCCAAAGCTCTCCAAACTCCAAATTAGTGTTTTGTTCCACCTCAAATAATGAAATTATAAATACATCTTACCACAAGACCTAACATTTAGATATATTAATTTCTTACCACTCACAAATAAATGGTGGGATAAATGTCAGAAATATAACAAAATTCTGTAACAAGAGCAGTAATAAATGCCAACTGGTACTTTAGTTGAGCAATTCTAAGAGCCCCTACATATTTCTAATAACCACCTGAAATAATTTTTCATGCTTGGCTTGGTAAGAAATTAAAATTTACAGTTATATAGGAGGAATTTCATTTAATATGGCTACATCTAGGGGAAAGCAGGATGAATATACCTATCATTAATATTATGTATTGCAAATGTATTGCCATTGTTCAATTTTTAAAACATTAAACTGGACTTTTCCTACTTAAAATAACTAGTCAGCTGGTAAAGTAATTGTTTTCCAGAGTGGTAACAGCAAATTATTAAGACCTTTTTGCTAGTGGGTGCTTAGACCTATCCTCCAGTTTCATTTTAATTTGATTGTCTGCCTTAAGGGCATTGCTGCATCAAATTTTGTTTCCACCATGAATCCATATGATGCAGAAATGAAAAGTAATACATTGTATAAGGTGGAGTGAGGAAGTTAATGTAGTAATTTAAGTCCACTTTTAATATAGTAGGATTTTTTGAAAATGTTCCCTGGAGTTCACCAATTGCTATAATATCAAAACTACCCCATGGCTTGGTAGTGTATCTACCTATGCTATACACATGTATGACATCCTCCTTATCCATCGTGCAACAAACTCGTCTAATTCATGGACATTATTAAATTCTAGTCCTTTTCAAACTCTATATTTAGGAACTCCTAAGTGGCTCCAGGCTCTTAATTTTTAGAATTCCCTAAGTTGAAAGTGATTCTGCCTTAGTACAGCCATTATGAAACTTTGGAATCCTGATTCTTGAGGCATCAGGGGCTCCACAAATATTAAAGTAATTTTTGGCAAATGGTGAGGGGCCTTTTTTGCCAGGTAACTAATAGCCTTTTATTTATGTAGATTTGGTTTGAAATGTTTTTAAATATGTTTTAAAAAGTATTGCTTATCATTTACAAAGCATGGTCTCTAAATTATCAAAAAAGATCTTCTGAATACATTTACATGATTTCAGTGCTTCAAACTACACAAGGAAACTGAAACACATTTTGGTTTTTGCCTTAGAAACCTCCTGCTTCCCTTTTGAATATTTCTTTGGGATAAGCAGAAAGTGCTGTTGGACAGGAAGTTGAGATGACCAGATCAAACCCACAGGATTTTATCATAATTCAAACAAGGAATTTAAGGCAAGTCAAAGACAAAAAGAACCCTCACTGATTTTCAAACACATTGCATTTCTTCCCCTTTGCTTTTGGTTTTGTACCTTCTACTAGAACATGACTTAGACTTAACCTCAAAATTTATAATTTATTCTTCTCATTCATATTTTGTAACATTCAGTCTAAACTCAGATTATTGACTCCTGAGAACTGGATAGATTGTCAGAATGGCTAATTGAGACCCTCTATTTCAGAATGCATTAGTTATCACCAAAAAGATTATAGTGGGAATCTTAGAGAAAAAATAATTAGAACTATAGTTTCTATATTCTAAGAGCTTAAAATATAAAATATTAATAACATATGCCCTACCTATACAAAAATGAATGTAGAAACATAATTAACTGCCATGTATATTATGTATATTTCTATATAACATGTACATATTTATACATAAATGTATGTAAAAAGTCTACATAAATATTTACATTTATGCTTTTAAAATGGTTACATTCCAAATTCCAACTAATGTTATGATTAACCAGATAATATTGGCATTCATATTTTGAAGAAAAAAAATGAAAGATTCTCTCATCAGCTTGGAAGCTCATTCCTGAAAGTAAAAGTAAACTCAGACTTAAATTGATTTAGACAGTAAACACATTTATTTTCTCATAAAAAAACAGAAAGTTGAGATTTTGCTGATTCAGTGACTCAGAGAGACTATAAAAAGCCCAGGTTGTTTTCCTCTCCCTGACCTGCCTTTCACTACATCATCTAGGTTTGGTTTTTTTAATTGACAAGTAGAAAAAATATATATATATTATATATATATATTGACTCAGAGGATGCTAAATCCAAGCTTAACTTCAGATATGGTTTCTGACTGATTTACTGGTGGTAGTGCCATCATCACCAGCAACAATTGGTCCAGGAACCCAAACATGAGCTAATTAGTTAATTAGAACTACATTGTATTCTTAGTCCAGGCATGGTACTGATGTAAATTGGCCCAGTTCATTTGAAAGGAAGAACTTCAACTGCATAATTATATATATTATATTTATATAAAATATATATTTATTATATATTATATAAATATTTATATATAGATAAGTATATATAATATATAATATATATATTTAACATATATCAATTATATATTATATAAAAATATAATTATTTATACATAATTATATATAATATATTATAAAATGTATTTTCATTCTCTGGATGCTGAATATATTATATATTATATAATATATAATATATAATGTATTATAAAATATACATAATATATAATATATAATCATATATATTATATATATTATATATATTTATATATAATTATATATTATATATGATATATATAATATATAATTATATATAAATATATATATTATATATAATTATATATAATTAATACTATATATAATATATTATATATGATTATATATAATTAATACTATATATAATATAGTATATATGATTATATATAATTAATACTATATATAATATAGTATATATTATATATAATATATATTCTTGAAGACTGTTGAGTAGATTTTAAGTGTTCTCACCACACAAAAACATGACAGGTGTGTGAGGTAATGCACATGTTAAATAGCTTGATTTAATGATTCAACATTGTATACATATATCAAAGCAACAATGTATGCATCATCAAAGCATTATATATAATATATATGTTTACTTATATTATATATAATATTTATATATAATGTATATGTTTATATTATATACAATATTTATATATAATGTATATGTTTATATTACATATAATATTTATATATAATGTATATGTTTATATTATATATAATATTTTATATGATATATATGTTTATTTATATTATATATATTTTATATATGTTTATTTATATTATATATAATATTTATATATATTTATGGTATACAATATGATGCTTTGTTATATGTATACAGTGCTGAATATGTATTTGTATAAATATATAAAATATATATTTATGGTGTACAATATATTGTATATTACATATATTTATGGTATCCAATATGGTGCTTTGATATATGTATACATTGTTGAATCGCTAAATCAAGCTATTTAACATGTGCATTACCTCACACACCTGTCATGTTTTGTGTGGTGAGAATACTTAAAATCTACTCACCAGTTTTTAAGCATACAATATATCGTTATTAACCATAGTCATCACGATGTACAATAGGGCTCTTGGACTTGTTTCTTCTGTTGAACTGAAATTTTGTGTTCATTTTAGATTGTTGGATAGAGGCCAGTGACAACTATAGCAGCATCCAGAGAATGAAAAGAGAGACTTCCACAATTATGCAATTGAAGTTCTTCATTTCAAACGAACTGGGCCAATTTACATCATCAGTACCTATGCCTGGACTAAGAATACAATGTAGTTGTAATTAAATGATTAGCTCAAGTTTGGGTTCCTGGACCAATTGTTGCTAGTGGTGATGGGACTACCACCAGTAAATCAATCAGAAACCACATCTGAAGTTAAGCTTGGATTTAGCATCCTCTGAGTCAAAGAGGTTGACTGGAAAAGGGTTGATACCTAAATAAAATTGAAATTCTACTAGAAAGAAAAAAAGGTTGTAATGCTTATTGAGTAAGGAACAAATAGAGTTCCCTATAATTCCATTAAAAAAGCAAAAAACACTAAAGAAAATGTCATATATTTGAATATCATCACAATAAAATAGTCACAATGACCTATTCATGTTTAGTATCTAAACTATAGTTTTCTGAATCATGACTTCGGGGTCATAAGATACTAAATTTTCTCTTCCATTGCCAGATGGATGAGACTGCCTTGTCTTAGAATAGACCTAGTGCTGTGGATCAGAACTCTCTGAGTTACCAAATGAGATGGACAAATCCCACCACGGAATGGAGAGCACTGCCTTTGGAGTCACACTGAACTGAGTTCAAATCATAGACCCTGATCCTGAAATACATATGGCCTCCGCAAAGTTCTTCTGTTATATAATACATATTTAAAGGGTGTGTAAGGACTAAAGGAGATACAGTAAGCCCTGTGCTTAGCAGAGCGCCTGGAAGGCTGCAGGTGCACGGTGACTGCTGATGCGGCCCAGACATTTGGCACCCCTGGCCAATGCCTACCATATGCCAGGATTTCCTCCTGGTCTGGACCCAATCAAATCCAACATCACCACTACCACTACCCACCCCTAAACACACACACAAACACACACACCAACACACACACACACACACACACACACACTGTAGAGAGAGAAAGGGAGGGAGGGAGAGAGAGAGAGAAAGAGAAGCACATATCCAAGGTTAGTCAGCAGTGCTACATCAGGCAGGACTACTGCCCTAGCAGTAGGATTGCTGGTGCTAAGATGAGGCCAAGAAGCATCTCCAGTGCACAACTGAAATGAGGCATTTGTGCAATCTTCAGAGTCATCTGAGGCTCCTCTCTCACCCAGTCCCAATCCTAGTGTACTCCCATTTCTTCCAAATCCACATTCAACCACTTGCCCATCACTGAGTTTAATAAGCTTTGAGTCCTGTTGAAGGATTGATATTTTCAATCCTTCCTTATCTGAGAATATTTACTTTTCTAAGTTTAATTTTTCCCTGGATACAGTAGAACACATAATTATAACTTTTACCCTACCCCCATCACCACCCCAGCAAGAGGGGATTTGGTGATTATGTGAATGTATGAGTTATTCTTTTTTGAAGTGTTTTGTACTTTGTGGATGAAACATGTTTTATGAGTTCAAAGCTTTTCTATTATTTGTCCACTGTTCAGGACAATAGGGTAATTTGACAACAGATTTTATCCTTGGCAGAAAAAAAAAAAGCTGATTGCAGGGATGGGAAGCAGAGGAAGGTAATGTTCATTTCTTTCTTGAGGTTAAGGTCACAGGCACTGTATGATAAAAGTTCTTTGTTTTACGAAGAAATAAAGGATTTTTGATTTCTCCCCTTATTTAAGAACACCAGCATACACTCATTTTTTAATGTTTGATATACCTTTTCCCACAGCATTATATGAAAATTTCCTCAAGTTACAAATTTATTATCCACAGTTTATATTTCACAGTCATGAATCTTTATTGTTTGAGCAAACCTTGATGCAGATCTTGATATTCACTATAAATTATGTCATTCTCGGTGATTCATTGCATTAAGTTGTATTTGTTGTTTTGAATACAATAATGACTGATACCCCTAAATTAATGCAGGGACACTGGACATCACTAAAATAAGAGTAATCAGAATTTCAGGACTATTCACTTCTAGCAGAAAATTAAGTTGAAATCGGTCATTGGGGAACATGATTTATTTTACTCACATTCTAGAGGTATATCCATTAAATCTTCAGCTTGCTCTGATAATTAAAATTCTCTGCCAGAGCTGAAAATTTAGCTCTCATTTCTCCTAGAAAAATTTTCAAGACGGTACATTTTGCTCACATACAAAGCTAGGAACTTTATCCTTCATGAGGAGCATATTTCTATTGCTTATTTTATTTTATTATGCATTTGTTTTAATTAATTTTAGTCTAAATACTTTCAACAGCTGCCTATATTTTAGAAGACAAGTCCTTTCTTCTAAAAAGTCTTTTCTGCTACTTCATCTCTAGAAAAACACATCAATTTCACTAATGTTTGGTCTAAACTCTAGGAGTTGTGATAATAGATATTCACCCTTAGGTCTGCAAGTTGTCAGTGTGTTATCTATTGCTCTGTGTCTACTCATGCACCAAAAGATATAATTAGAAGATGAAGGGTTTTCTAACAAAGCTAAAGAAAATCGAATTGTCACTTTGTCTAAAGGAGATCAAATAAATAAGTCTTCAAACAAGATTACATGACGTTAAGTGCTATTCATATAATTAAATGAACAGTTTTCTATCCTTATATAATGAACACTTGGATAAAAATACAGCAATGCATTTTTCTATAACTGTGATCTGTGAATTTTTTTTTAAGAAAATATGTCAATAATTTGGCATAATTATAGAGAATATTATTTTCTCATTCTCTTTATATGTCTCTTTGTCTGTCTCTCATTCTCTCTCTCTCTCTCTGTCAACCACTCCCTCTATCTTCCAAATACACACTATAGCCTGACTCATCATATAGTTTTGTGTCTCCTAAGTAGCATAATACCTGGCTCTTAAGGTAACCCCAATCCATTTCATGCTTAAACATATGTTTACATTCTATCCTCATCCCATGACTAAATAGAAGTCATCCCTACATTCAGGAATTGATCTCCAGATTCTTCCCAAAGAGTAAACCATTCTTCCTTTGAGTTCAAAGTAGGCATCCATGTTCAAATCTTATAAATTCTGGCCTCTTAAGTGATAAAAACCTCAGTCTTCGGTGACCTTCAGCAAGTCTCTTCAATTCTTTGTCTCTTACTGTAGAACAGGTCTTTTAACTTCGTAGGTGACTAGTGATGACAATGTAATTTATAAAAGATCTGAAGTTTCAGGATGAAAGTTAATAGTTGTATTACATTTGTACAATTCTCTGCACTCATTACTTAATACTCCCACCAATGTCATTGCAGAGCTGAATTATAGACTCCACAACTGCAAACTAAGTATGTGCATAAGAGAATTATATATTAAAGAGAAAAACACTATTTCCAAGCTCATTGTTATGTAATGTCTTAAGTCTTTAAGTAAAAGACCCAAGAAAATCTAAGAAAATTGCAACACAAAGTAACAGCTAGCCCAAGATTTTCTCTACTGTAAACTTCTCCGCTCCTGGGTTGAGAGTCAAAAGGGATCCATCTGAAACCTAAATTATGCCCATTTCTTTAAACTTGTAACTTACTTAATAACAATTTTGGATGTAAATCTTCCTTCTATAGAAAATATAAGCTTTTTTCTTTTAAATTTACAAATTTTACTTTTATGATTACAATCAAGACCAGCCTTGTTCAACAGCTGATGTTGTCATTTATAGCAGCCAGAAACAAAACAATTACTGTCTCATGTTGCTTAATGATGTGGACACATTCTGAGAAATGTGTTGTTAGATGATTTCGTCATTGTGTGAAAATCATAGACTGCACTTATGCAAACCTAGGTGGCATACTCTACTAACCTAGGTTATTGTTCCTAGGCCACCAACCTGTACAGCATGTTACTGCACTGAATACAGTAGGCAATTGGAACACAATACTATTTGTCTACCTAAACATAGAAAAAACACAGTAAGAATATGGTGCTGCTATCTAGTCCAGAGTGAACAACAGGCTTTCTTTAGTCAAGATGAGTTATAAGCCAGACATGTCAAAAGTGGGGAAGTTTGACAGGGAAAAACTGAAGAAAATTAATAACAAAGAAAAAAATACTCTTCTGCCACAGGAAACTATCCAGCAGGAGAAAGAGTATATTCAAACATTCTAAAATGGGATCTCCTCCCAAGGGCAAATTTCAACGTCATTTGAGAGTCTCGGTTTTGTAAACCAGTGCGTTTGTAGAAATGTTAGAGATTTTCCATTGTCTTCTCATCTGTACACCTTGGCTAAGAGGTCAGAAGTGGCCAATGTTTCCTTAAGCTTACTTTTTTGTTTTGTTTTCTTTTTTGAGACGGACTCTTGCTCTGTCACCAAGAGCGATATCAGCTCACTGCAATCTCCGCCTCCCAGGTTCAAGTGATTCTCCTGCCTCAGCCTCCCAAGTAGCTGGGCCTACAGGTGCCCGCCACCACACCCAGCTAATTTTTGTATTTTTAGTAGAGATGGGGTTTTGCCATGTTGGCCAGGCTGATTTCGAACTCCTGACTGCATGATCCACCTTCCTCAGCCTCCCAAAGTGCTGGGATTACAGGTATGAACCACCGCTCCCAGTCCTTAAGCTTACTTTTAAACTTACCATTGATGCATAAATTCCAGATGGCAGATGCTGTCAATAATCTTACCATTGATGCCCTTTGTGTATATAGTCCTTGTACCCCCTACAAGATAAGGCAATTTTAACCTTCTACAGTGGGCACCTCCGTTCTCCATAATCTTCATGAGGTTGCACATTTTTGCAGCTTCTCACAGTTTATTTTCATTTCTAATGTAGCAATAAAATAATAAATACAATATTATATTAAAAAGTTATATGGTATAATAATCTTATGGGACCACCATCATCTGTGCAGTCTGTCACTGGCCAAAACATTATGCAGTGCATGGCTGTATATTAAAACCAGTGTCATCCTTTTGAAAAGACCTCACCTTTAACTGTAATGGCTAATAGTTTTATGATAGCAACTTATTCATTAATTCATTGACTTGAATAGTAGACTTTTGAGTTGGTCTTCATTAATAGTCTATGTTATTTTCATGGTTTAAAAGTGGAGGTGGCTATTTTGTAAGAGCTAATTTGAATTGTTTCCCCAGGACAAAGAGGTTGCATTCTTCCTTTGTGTTATAAAATTTGAGGCCATGATTACAGTATATCTTTGCATCACAATGAACCCAAACTCACTTTAAGGAAGGTTTGACTAAGCATGCTAGAATTGATTGACTCATCTCCTAGCAGAAAGTGGCTTTCTCATTAGGAAATTACTCTGTCCTTCTATTCAGGTAACTACATTGTCATACGATGATTTCAACCCTACCCCAGCTTTAATGATTATTAAAGACCAAGATTCTGCACTTATCTGGGAAAGTTATCTAAATATATTTTGAATACGTGTTATGAATATGTTATTTTATTCCCAGAAAACATTGATTGGAAGTTTAGTTTTAGTTTAAACATTACTGTTAAATTTATTAAAATAAAAAAGTTTTAAAAATCCTGATTCTTCCTCAAGCTTAGAAATTTAGATTACCAATGATACCATCTACTTATAAATCTAACAGATTTCAGCAGTTATTTAAGTACTTTGAATAATATTTGGTTGTATTAAGTCTTAGCCACACATCTTCAAACATGTTAAATACATTTCTTGAGTTTATGACTTTTACTTCCTTCTTAAAGTTCTTTTCTCTGACTTAATAAACACAAATATCAAATTAAGTAACTCATAAATATAATGAATTAAGTTTATAAATATGTTGAATCTAATAATATTAATATCTCAACACTGTTTATTCACTTGGTAAACTTTCTGAACATCAGAATACTGAATCAATTACTCAGTTACACATTTTCCATTAGCAGTAAGGGGCTGCCAAGCTTCTGACATATTCTCTTACATGTTTATAACTACTTAAAATATCAATAATATAATATTTTAACACAAAAATATTAATAGTATAATTTTTTCCTCAAGTTTATAACATCCTTAATTATTATTTTAAATCTAATATTTACTATTTCAAAGAATGGATGTAATGAATATATTACTTGTAAAGCATAGTAATAAAAATGAGTATCTGTAAACCCATCACCCAAGTCAAAAAGTAGAACATAGTGAGACCTACACTGACTCTATCTATGGGTTCCATCCCCAGCCTATCACTTTGCTTCGGGCCAGAAATAACCAAGCACCATCAGTACTCAAATATTTTTTAGTTTGTCTTGCCATTGCCTATTTTCTTGTGCATAATATTTTAGCATATACATGTGTATCCCTAAACAAGAAATCTTTTGAGGCGTGTACATTTTTTTATCATTTGTGCATATTTCTAAATTAACCCACTGTTATAAGATGCATTCTTATGAAAGAAGACCCCAGTAAACTATGGCTATTCAATTCTTCTTTTTCTCACAATTAGAGAGAGTCTTCTTATTCCTCTGACTACTGAACTGAAGTCGTTATTGTATTCCCCGTAAAAGGGGATTTCAAAACTTTAGAAGGAGGTAGTAGTATCTTAGGGCATATTATGGAATCCTCTGCTCAGAAAAGTTTGTGGCTTTTACTCATATTAATTATGTGGTTAGATTTTACATTTTATCTTTTAAGTTACATAGACATATACATACCTAACTCTTAAGGCATTTGAACTTTATTATGTCCTAAAATATAAAAAACATTGAACTTTAAAGACTTTCAAAATTTACGAGGTCATGCTTTATTTCATGCTTAGGGGTGAATCAAATATTATAGATATTTGCAATGATATTTCAGTCGACATTGGGAGCTCTCAAATTGCTAAGCTTACTAAGGATAATTAATTCTCTCTATACCAAAAAAAAAAAAAAAAAAAAAACCCGACCCTAACTTTAGAATACAAACCACTTTCACCTTCCACCAATATTCATAAAATAAGATTCCAATACTTCAATCCTCATGATAACAAAGTAATCTGTTTACATGTATTTAGGTTATAGATGTTTACACTTAAAATGATTCCAACTAAACCCTGTACCTTCAGGTGCACATTAGACATTTCCAACTTTATTTATCCTATTTAACCTAGAGACTGAAAAGCTTAGGCAGTAATAGTAACCCAAACATCTATATATAGAAATTCCCTTTTTTCCTTCAAACTCAGGGGTTCTCAAAGTTCAGCATCTTTATGAATCACAAAATAGGATTGTATACACAAACATGGATATTTCACTTTACAGGAGAATCAAGAGATTTTCAAAAGTAAATTTAACTGTACATGACTTGAGCTGTAAGTATTGACAGTAGAACCCAGCCCTTGCTAAAGATGCATTTTTACTCTTAAAGTTGAATTCAGTCCTAATAAATATTTTTCAAATGCTCAGCTGAGAGAGACAATATTAGTGAAGGCTGGCCTGCAGTCCCTCCTTTCACTAGAACAGAAAGGCTTGAATGAAGAAGCCCATGAATCGTTTTTCAGGAAGTCCTAAAGGTGCCCCCAAATTATATATAAAATTGGATTTCTGTAGACATTTTTCAAGAGAGACAGCTTGCTGCTGGAATCAGATTTTTAAAGTCAACACTTCCAAACATTTTTCATGTAATGGTACAAATAAAAAAGTATAATATTTGTATAGCACTCTGTGGAAAACTAGAGGGATTTAAGGGAATCTAAATTGGAATTGATTTTAAAATTCATTACATTTTCTTGTGTAATTATAAGCACAAAATGCAAAGTACTAGAGAAGCTAATAATTATTAATGTGAATAATATGTCCAAATAAAATATTTTAAAATATTTAATGAAAATCATTAGCTTGTTTTCATGAATACAGTTTTTCAATATTAAGTTTAATGCTTTAAATGGCTAGATACAATCCTTGGTCAAGATTTTTCAATAATGATGTATTCAAAATCTTGAGAGTCACCATCAACAAGAAAATTTATTTGTACAAATAGGTAACAAAAAATATAAATCCAACCAAGATGAAGTAGCAGGAACCAAATTTCCCTTCCCACTTGAAACAAACAATAATTCCATAAAAAATAGATGAAAGAATGATATCCAAGACACTGGACATAAAACAACAAAGGATAGCGATATCTGAGAGACATTGAAAAAAAAAAAAAAACGGTGAGCCCTTCAGTGCCCCAACCTACAGCCTTAAAAGAATTTCAGGGGGAGGAATAGAAAAAGAAGACAAAGCCTAACTCAGAGGACTCCCAGAATTGAAGAAATGGAGGTGAGAATCTAGGGTGATCAAGGCAGCTATAGAGCATTGATAGAATGCCAGAGAGAAGAGAACTACATACAGAAAGAACATCAGAGATCTGTGAATGGTCCCCTACAAGTATTCAGCAAAGTACTGACCAATGTATATATGCAAAAACAAAATAAAACAAAACAAAAAACAAACAAACAAAAAACTACCCAAAGCCAGGGAGGAAACCATCTGAAAGAATCAAAGTAAACTAATAATTCACAGGGCATTGAATAGACTAATGAGGAAGGTCTTGACTCACAGTACGGAACAATCAACCTCAGACTAAGCCCTGTTCTGGACCTACCTAAAGAATTTTAAAATTAGTACTCAAAAGAATCAAACTATTTCCCAGAATAAAATACAAAAATATTTTTAAGAATATATAAATATTCAGCATCCAAAAAATAAAATTTACAATGTTTGGCATCCAGTCAAAAATAACCCTCCCCTCATCCTCCAAAAAAACTACTAGAACTGATAAATAAATTCAATAAAGTTGCAGGATACAAAACCAACACACAAAAATCAATTGCATTTCTTTTCACCAATAATGACCTATCTAAAAAGAAATCAAGTAAACAATCCCATTTACAATAAATAAAAAAATACTTAGAAATACGTTTAACCAAGGAGCTAAAAAGCCTATATACTGATAACTATAAAACACTGATAAAAAGAAATTAAAGAAGACACAAATATATGGGAAGATATTTTGTGTTCATAAATTAGAATAATTAATATTGTTAAAATATCCATACCACCTAAAATAATGAACAGATTAGGTGCATTTTTCATAAAAATAGAAAGAATCCTATAATTAATATGGAACCACAAAAGACCTCAAATAGTCAAAGCAATCTTGAGAAAAGAATAAAGTTAGGAGCATCACACTTCCTGATTTCAAATTATGTTAGAATGTTATAGTAATCAAAACAGTATGATACTGGCATAAAATAGACACATAGACTAAGGGAACAAAATGGAGAACCTAGAAATAAATCTAAGCAAATATACAGCTGACTACTTTTTGATAAGGGCCCCAAGAAAACCAAATGAAGAAATGATAGTCTTTTCAGTAAATGGTGTTGGTAAAACTGGTATCTCCATGCAAAAGAATGAAATTGGACCCTTATGTTACACCATATATAAAAATTCATTAAAAATCCATTAAAGACATAAATGTAAGATCTGAAACTCCTAGAAAAAAACATAAGGGAAATGCTTCTTGACACTGGACTTTGCAATGACTTTTTGGACATGACACAAAAAGTTCAGAGAACAAAAGAAAAATAGGTAAGTAGGACTGTGTCAAACTAAAAAGCTTCTGTACAGCAAAAGAAACAATCAACAAAATAAAATGGTAGCATATGAATTGGGAGAAAATATTTGCAAAACATATATCTGCTTGCATGCGCCCTGCCTTGCCAGTGCTGTGGTGGGAATGCATGCCATCCCTGTTGACCTAACATAAGACCATTGCAGTCAGAGCCTTTGGGGTCACAGACCCAGCCAGAACTCTACCTCAGTGCAAACACAGCTACATGAGTGAAACTAGGCACCGAGAAGAATGGACCCTCCCTTGCCCTGAGCAATCACCCCTGCCTGAGGGGGCACAGAGAGTGCACACAGACCTGTGTCTTTCCGTGTCCCTCACCCATGCTGACACCACCACCAACATGATCACGTGCACAGATGCAGCAGGCATCCCCACCCCCCTGAGTCATGCTGTCACTGCCACTGCTGTGAATGCCTACATGTAGGCAGGTAGCCTGGCAACTGTTAGCACCCTGCAGCAGCTGATGAGCGTGCACCCTGCTAAGCTGTTGCTGCTGCTGCTACTGGCACATGCGAACAAGAATAGATCTCATTGATACAGCACTACAAAAGCTTTGGCTGGCACCACCCATCAGAGTGTAGTGACCAGTAATCTGGAAGCACCTCAGCCCCACACAGTGCAGTGGATCCCTAAACTTGAGGAGTCAGATAACAAAGTCAGAGCCTGATACAAGTTCCCCAGAGTTACAGAATTCAGTCCAAGAGTTGGGAGCTGAGCACTGGTCCCCCTAAAATCTTCCAGAAATGAAGCCAATCAACTGAACCCACTGTATACCACAATCAAACTCTCAAGGTCATCAAATAAAGTAATAAAAACACATTCAAAAGTCAGCAATTTCAAAGACTTAAGAAACATCAGCCCATAAAGGTGAGAAAGAACCAGTGCAAAAACTCTAACAACTCAAAAAGCCAGAGTGCCTTCTTTCCTCCAAAAGACTGTACTACCTCTCCAGCAAGGGTTCTGAACTGGGCTGAGATAACTGAAATGACAGAAATAGAATTCAAAATATTGATAGGAATAAATATCACTGAGATGCAAGAGAACATCAAAACTTAATCCAAGGAAGCTAAAAATCACAATAAAATGATACAGAAGGTGACAGACAAAATAGCCAGTATAGAAGAAAATCAACACAGAAGCGCTGAAAAACAGACTACAAGAATATTGTAATGTAATTACAAGTATTAATAGCAGAATAAACCAAGCTGAGGAAAGAATCTCAGAGCTTGAAGACTGGCTTTCTGAAATAAAGACCCGAAGACAAGAATAGAGAAAAAAGAATAAAAAGGAATAAACAGAATCTCTGAGAAACATGGGATTATGTAAAGAGACCAAATCTACAACTTATTGATATCCCTGAAAACTATGGGGAGAGTGTAAGAACTTGGAAAACATATTTCATCCATGAGAACTTCCGCAACCTAGCTAGAGAGGCCTACACTCAAATTCAGGAAATGCAGAGAACCTTAGTAAGATATTAGGTTGGAACAAAAGTAATTGTAGTTTTGGATCATGAATTGTAAGTCATTATAACTAGGCTCAAACACATCTTTATTAATCAAAATAGGAACCATTATAATCAACACATTTTTGCCGTCAAGAAATAAGTTTATTCCTGTAGCATAAATATCCGTGCTTTGGGATTTGATGAAATCTTGGAAAGAATTTTCTACACCCTGTTGATTGTAGAAGCATTTTCCCTACAAAAAGTTGTTGTGATGCTTGAAGAAGTGGTAATCGTTTGGCGAGAGATCAGGTGAATATGGCACATGAGGCAAAACTTTGTAGCCCGATTTGTTCAATTTTAAAGCGTTAGTTGCAAACGTGAAGTCAGGCAATGTCATGGAGAAGAATTGGGCCCTTTTTGTTGACCAATGCTGGCTGCAGGCATTGCAGTTTTCAGTGCATCTCATCGATTTGCTGAGCATACTTCTCAGATACAGTGGTTGTGCCAGGATTCAGAAAGCTGTAGTGGGTCAGACAGGCAACAGACTACCAACCAGTGACCAAGTCTTTTTATGGGTGCAAGTTTGGCTTTTTGAAGTGCTTTGGACCTTCTTCTCAGTCCAACCACTGAGCTGGTTGTCACCAGTTGTTGTATAAAATCCACTTTTCATCTCATGTCACAATCCAACAGAGAAATGGTTTATTATCATTCATAGAATAAGAGAAGACAACACTTCAAAAGATGAATTTTTTATTTTTACTCAGCTCATGAAGCACCCACTGATTGAGCTTTTTCACCTTTCCAATTTTCTTCTCATGCTGAACAACTGTAGAATGCTGAACATTCAGTTCCTTGGCAACTCCTCATTTAGCTGTAAGAGTATTAATGATTGCTCTCAATTGGTCATTGTCAACTTCTGATGGCTGGCCATCATGCTCTTCATCTTCAAGGCTCTCATCTCTTTTGCAAAACTTCTTAAACCACCACTGCACTGTATGTTCATTAGCAGTTTCTGAGCCAAATGCATTGTTGATGTTGTGAGTTGACACTGCTGCTTTATGACTTATTTTGAACTTGAATGGGAAAATCACTCAAATTTACTTTTTGTCTAACATCATCTTGATAGTCTAAAATAAATATTAAATGAACAGCAAGCAATAAGTCATTAACAAAAAAATAAAGTGAGAAATGTGCATTAAAATGATGTATAACATAAACACATTTATTTAAAAATATATTCCAATATCAAATGACAAATCTCAACAGTGCAAAAACCACAATTACTTTTGCACCAATCCATTTCACTAGATCATCCCCAAGACACATAATCATCAGATTCTCCAAAGTTGAAATGAAAGAAAAATGTTAAAGGCAGCTAGAAAGAAAGGTGAGATCACCTACAAAGGGAAGCCTATCAGACTGGCAGTGGACCTTTAAGCTGAAATCCTACAAATCAGAGGAGATTGGGGGCCAATATTCAACATTCTTACAGAAAAGAAATTCCAACCCAGAATTTTATATCTGGCCAAACTATGCTTCATAAGCAAAGGGGGAATATGACCCTTTTCAGACAAGCAAATGCTGAGAGAATTTGCTACCACCAGACCTGTCTTACACAAGCTCCTGAAGGAAGCACTAAATTTAGAAAGAAATGACCACTACTGGCCACTATAAAAACACACTTAAACACATAAATCACTGACACTATAAAGCAACCACACAAACAAATCTGCGTAATAACCAGCCAACATCATGATGGCAGAATCAAATCACACATATCAATATTAACCTTGCATGTAAATGGGATATACGCCCTATTAAAAGGCACAGAGTGGCAAGATGGATAAAGAACTGAGACCCATTGGTATGTTGTCTTCAAGAGACACATCTCAAATGCAGACACCTATAGGATCAAAATAAAGTGATGGAGAAAAATCTACCAAGCAAATCAAAAATAGAAAAAAGCATGGGTTGCAATCCTAATTTTAGAAAAAACAGACTTTAACTTTGATTGAAAGAGACAAAAAAAGACTTTACATAATAGTAAAGGGTTCAGTTCAAGAAGACCTAACTCTCCTACATATATATGCACCCAACACAGGAGCACTCAGACTCATAAAGCAAGTTTTTAGAGACCTTCAAAGAGTCTTAGACTCCAACACAGTAATAGTGGGAGCCTTCAACCCCAATGACAGTATTAGACCACTGAGGCAGAAAATTAACAAAGATATTCAGGACCTAACTCAGCAGTGGATCAAAGGGACCTGATAGACAGCTATAGAACTCTTTATCCAAAAACAATAGAATATATATTGCCACATGGCATATCCTCTAATAATGGCCAAATGATCACACATGAAACACTCCTAAGCAAGTGCAAAAGACCTGAAATCATAACAACCACTCTCTCAGATCAAATTAAGACTAAGAAAATACTCAAAACCATACAATTATGAGGACATGCTCCTGAATGACTTTTGGGTACATAATGAAATTAAGGCAGAAATCAAGAAGTTCTTTGAAACTAATGAGAACAAAAATACAACATATCAGGATCTCAGGGATACAGCCAACACAGTGATAAGAGGGAAATTTCTAGCATTAAATGCCCCATCAAAAGGTTAGAGGCCAGGCACTGTGTCTCATGCCCGTAATCCCAGCACTTTGAGAGGCCAACGCAAGTGGAACACCTGTGGTCGGGAGTTCGAGACCAACCTGATCAACATGGAGAAACCCTGTCTCTACTAAAAACTACAAAATTAGCTGGTTGTGTTGGCACATGCCTGTAATCCCAGCTACTTGGGGGGCTGAGGCAGGAAAATCACTTGAATCCAGGAGTTGGAGGTTGCAATGAGCTGACATTGCACCATTGCACTCCAGCCTGGGCAACAAGAGCGAAACTCCCTCTCAAAAAAAAAAAAAAAAAAACAACTTAGAAACATCTCAAGTTAACAACCTAACATCACAACTAAAAGAGTTAGAGAACCAAAAGCTAACAAATCCCAAAGCTAGCAGAAGACAAGAAGTAATCTGAATCAGAGCTAAACTGAAAGAGATTGAGACACACAAAATAATAAAAGATCAACACATCCAGGAGCTGTTTTTCTTAATTAATAAAACAGACAGACTGCTAGCTAGACTAATAAAGAAGAAAAGAGAGAAGATACAAAATAAGACAACCAGAACCATCAAGGGGGATATTACCACTGACCACACAAAAATACAGATAACCCTCAGAGGATATTATTAATGACTCTATATAGCTAAACTAGAAAATCTAGAAGCAATGGATAAATTTCTGGGCACATACACCCTTCCACACTAAAACAACAAGAAATTACATCCTTAAACAGTCCAATAATGAGCTCTGAAATGGAATCAATAATGAATAGCCTATCAACCAAACAAAGCCCAGGACAAGACAGATTTATAGATGAATTATACCATATGACAAAGAATTGCTGGTAGCATTCCTACTGAAACCATTCCAAAAAATTCAGGAGGAGTAACTCCTCCCTAACTCATTCTATGAGGCCAGCATCATCCTGATACCAAAATCTGGCAGAGATAGAACAAAAAAAGAAAACTTTATGTCAATATTCTTGATGAACATTGATGCAAAAATCCTCAACAAAATATGGCAAATCAAATCCAGCAGCACATCAAAAAGCTTATCCACCACAATCAAGTAGACATTATTCCTGGGACACAAGGTTGGTTCAACATACACAAGTTAATAAATGTGATTCATCACATAAACAAGAAATACAGACAAAAACCACATGATTAGCTGGGCACCGTGGCTCACACCTGTAATCCCAGCACTTTGGGAGGCCGAGGCGGGCGGATCACGAGGTCAGGAGATCGACACCATCCTGGCTAGCACAGTGAAACCCCATCTCTACTAAAAATACAAAAATTAGCCGGGCGTGGTGGCAGGTGCCTGTAGTACCAGCTACTCGGGAGGCTGAGGCAGGAGAATGGCGTGAACCCCAGGAGACGGAGCTTGCAGTGAGCCGAGATCATGCCACTGCACTCCAGCCTGGGTGACAGAGTGAGACTCTGTCTCAAAAAACAAAACAAAACAAAACAAAAAAAAACACATGGTTATCTCAATCAATGCAGAAAAGGCTTTTGTAAAATTCATCATCCCTTGATGTTAAAAACTGTTTAATAAACTAGGTATTGAAGGAACATCCCTCAAATAGTAAGATCCATCTATGACAAACCCACAGCCAACATCATACTGAATGGGCAAAAGCTGGAAGCATTCCCTTGAAAACTGGCACAAGGCAAAGATGTCCTCTTTCACCACTCCCATTTAAAATAGTATTGTAAGTCCCAGCCAGAGCAATCAGGCAAGAGAAAGAAATAAAGGGTATTCAAATAGGAAGACAGGAAGTCAAACTATTCCTGCTTGCACACCTAATCCTATATCTAGAAAACCCCATAGTCTCAGTCCAAAAACTTCTTAAGCTGGTAAACAACTTCAGAAAATTCTCAAGATACAAAATTAGTGTGCAAAAATCACTAGTATTCCTAATACCAACAATAGTCAGTCAAGAGCCAAATCAGGAACAAACTCCCATTCACAATTGCCACAAAAGGAATAAAATTCTTAGGAATATAGCTAACTAGGAAAGTAATAAATTTCTGCAAGGAGAACTACAAACCACTGCTGAAAGAAATCAAAGATGACACAAACAAATGGAAAAGCATTTTATACTCATGAATAGGAAAAATCAATATCATTAAAATGGCCATACTCCCTGATATTGTTTGGCTCTGTGTCCCCAGCCAAATCTCATCTCAAATTGTAATCTCCACATGTCGAGGGAGGGTCCTGGTCAGAGGTGATTGGATCATAGGGATGGCTTCCCCATGCTGTTTTCATGATAGTGCGTTCTCATGAGAGCTGATGGTTTTTAAAGTGTTTGGCAGTTTCCCCTTCACTTTCTCTGTCTCTCTCTCCTGCCACTTTGTGAAGAAGGTGCTTGCTTCTCCTTCACCTTCCACCATGTGTAAGTTTCCTGAGGTTTGGCTCTGTGTCCCCACCCAAATATCATCTAAAGTCGTAATCCCCACATGTTGAGGGAGGGACCTAGAGGGAGGTAATTGGATCATGGGGGTGGTTTCCCCCATGCTGTTCTCCTGATAGTGAGTTCTCAGGAGAGCAGATGGTTTTAAAAGTGTAGCACTTCCTCGATCTCTCTTTCTTCTGCTGTCAGGTAAGATGTGCCTTACTTCCTCTTCACCTTCTGCCATGATTGTAAGTTTTCTGAGGTCTCCCCAGCCATGCAGAACTGTGAGTCAATTAAACATCTTTCCTTTATAAATTGCCCCATCTCAGGTAGTATCTTTATAGCTGTGTGAAAATGGACTAATACACTGGCAAAGCAATTTATAGATTCAATGCCATTCCTATTAAACTACCATAGAGATTTGTCACAGAACTAGAAAAAACTTTTTTAAAATTCATGTAGAACCACAAAAGAACCTGAACAGCCAAGGCAATACTAAACAAAAAGAACAAAGCAGGAGGCATTATGCTATTTGACTTCAAACTGTGCTACAGGGCTATAATAACCAAAACAGCATAGTACTGGTACAAAAACAGACACATAGACCAATGGAACAGAATACAGAACCCAGAAATAAGGCCGCACATGTACAACTACTTGATCTTTGACAAACCTGACAAAAACAAGCAATGGGGAAAGGATTCCCTATCCAATAAATGGTGCTGGGATAACTGGCTAGCCATATGCAGAATATTAAAACTGGGCCCCTTCCTTATGCCATATACAAAAATTAACCCAAGATGAATTAAAGACTTAAATGTAAAACCCAGAACTATAAAAACTCTGGAAGGCAACCTACGGAATACCATTCAGGACACAGGCGCAGGTAAAGATTTCATGATGAAGACACCAAAAGCAATTGCAACAAAAGCAAAAATTGACAAATGGGATCTAACTAAACTGAAGAGCTTCTGCACAGCAAAAGAAACTATCAACAAAGTAAACACACAACCTACAGAATGGCAGAAAAATTTTGCAAACTACATGTCTGACAAAAGTATAATATCCAGCAATAGGCCGGGCACTGTGGCTCACGCCTGTAATCCCAGCACTTTGGGAGGCCGAGGCAGGCGGATCACGAGGTCAGGAGATCGAGACCATCCTGGCTAACACGGTGAAACCCCGTCTCCACTAAAAATACAAAAAATTAGCCGGGTGTGGTGGCGGGTGCCTGTAGTCCCAGCAACTCGGGAGGCTGAGGCAGGAGAATGGCGTGAACCCGGGAGGTGGAGGTTGCAGTGAGCCGAGATTGCGCCACTGAACTCCAGCCTGGGTGACAGAGCGAGACTCCGTCTCAAAACAAAACAAAACAACTCCAAAAGTATAATATCCAGCATTTACAAGGAACTTAAACAAATTTACAAAAAAAAAATTAAAACGTTGGCAAATCACATAAATAGACACTTTCCAAAAGAAGACACAATGTGGCCAATGAGCACATGAAAAAAAGCTCAACACCACTGATTATTAAAGAAATGCAAACCAAAACCACAATGAGATACCATCTGACACCAGTTAGAAAGGCTATTATTAAAAATAAAAAAATAGACTGTTCAGCCTATGGAATAGTTGTTCTTTCATTCTGTTGCTTTCTTAATAAACTTGCTTTCACTTTACTCTATGGACGCACCTCGAATTATTTCTTGAAAGAGATCCAAGAACTCTCCCCTGGGGTCTAGATTGGGACCCCTTTTTTCCAGTAACTTCTTTCTGGCAAACCCCGAAGGGACAATACTGAGGAGACCCCTGACCCAAAGGAAATAGACTGCAGCACTGATGGGCTGACTTTGGATAAGTGGTGGGGTACCTGGGTAAAGGATGGGATTAGGTTAGAGGCCCAAGTAAAGGGAGTTAGAGTCTCTCCTAAGACAGAGTTGATTAAAGGCCTTTTTAATAAAAGTCAAGGACGCTTGACCAAACTTGTGTTCAAGGCCCAACTTAGTAATGTCAGAGGGGATTAGAGGCCACCCTCTCAGTAAAGGCCCTCTCAGCTAAGAATGGGTTTGGCACTACGGGATGGGTTAACCACTATTCTCTTTGGATTAATCTGCCTTGCACTCTTTGCTGACAGCTATGGGTGACAGGATTAGGCATGTACAGGATTACAGGGCATGAGGAGCTTTTTCTCCCCAAAAGGGGAAACTTGAGAGCTGATGGGACTGCTGGAAAAGTTCCCTTCACAACCAACAAGCAGCTGCCTGAACTTTTGATTTAGTGTTGCTGAAATGGGTGGGTCTTTCTCTGGCCTCCCTGAGCTCCTCACCTTCCCCACTCTGCTGTAGGCCATGCTTTTCTCTCTTTCTCTCCTTTATTTTTTCTATCTTTTCTGTTACTCAGAGTGACTGTCCATTCTTTCATTGTGTCCAGAGACCACATGTTGAAAAATGTCCTTGGGAGCTTGACCTTGTAACCCCATGGCAGTACTTTCTCTTGGTCTCTGTCATCCAGGAAACAGGAATTTTGGAGTTTATGTCATAGTGAGCTCTCAAAATTATCTTGAGTAGTTAAAAGCCATTGCAAGCTCAAAATTGGCTGCTGTGGACTCCTTCTGAGAAAAGCAATGGAAACCGCCTAATGCTGTAGCTCAGCAGTTAAGGCATTGCCATTTTACAAAGGAAGCCCAGGTTTAATACTGGGGTAAGGAATGACTCTTCTGGTTTGATATTTAGGCAACCTTTCTCATTTTTTAATTGTCTTCCCCTCCACAAACGGTCTTGAATTTTCCTCTCCCTGAGCACAGAAATATTGGCTATTTGGCATGGCTAGAGTTAGGTAATAAGAAATTTAAAAGGATTTAAAGAAGAAGAAGAAATGGAAGAAGAAGAAGAAGAGGAAGAAGAAGAAGAAGAGGAAGAAGAAGAGGAAGAGGAAGAAGAAGAAGAAGAAGAGGAAGAAGAAGACAACGACGATGACGACGACTATGGGCAGGGTGCAGTGGCTCACACCTGTAATCCCAGCACTTTGGGAGGCCGAGGCGGGCAGATCACGAGGTCAGGAGTTCGAGACCAGCCTGGCCAACATAGTGAAACCCTATCTCTACTAAAAATACAAAAATTAACCAGGCGTGGTGGTGGGCACCTGTAACCCCAGCTACTCGGGAGGCTGAGGCAGGAGAATAGCTTGAACCTGGGAGGCAGAGGTTGCAGTGAGCCTAGATTGCACCACTGCGCTCCAGCCTGGGTGAAAGAGTGAGACTTCATCTCAAAAAAATAAATAAATACATAATTATATGAGTGAACATATTGGCTAAAATTAAAGGGATATTATTCAGTTTATTTGTAAACTGAACATTAAAATAAAAGTACAACAGAATTTTTCTTGGAGCACCGATCTGCTCTTTAACAAAAATTTGTAAAGGGTTATAAAATGATTATAAGAATCTTACCTTATGGTCAGACTGATTAAGACTGAATACATTTGTCTATAACATTTTATTAAGAATTGGATTTGGCATCAATAATGCCCTAATGAAGAGGTGAAATTTGGCTTATTCAGTATAAAAGTCATAGAGGAAGTATTGTCAAATATGAAATAGTGTTTGCCTTTTTGGGGCACTGCATTTGTATAAATCTTTTATTGGTATGTGTTCCAAAATTATAAGAAACTTCTATAATTCTGATATAACTTAGTGTATGTTATTAATAGTTATAATTTTTATGTAAAATGGTTGTATGACACAGAAGTAACCAAATTTCCTTGTCAATTTTGGCTTTTAATAATGGCTGTCTTAAGACTTTTTATCACCTACAGCACAATTTGCAATTGGAAAAATATGGAACCAGCCCAAATGCCCATCAATCAACAAATGGGTAAAGAAAATGTGAGATATATATACATACACACACACACACACACACACACACACACACACACCATGGAATACTACTTATCCAGAAAAAGGAATAAAATAATGGCATTCAAAGCAACCTGGTTGGAATTGGAGACCATTATTCTAAGTGAAATAACTCAGAAATGGAAAACCAAACATTATATGTTCTCACTCATAAGTGGGACCTAAGCTATGAAGGCACAAATGCGTAAGGATGATACAATGGACTATGGAAACTCTGGAGGGGAAAGGATGGGGCAGGGGGTGGAGGATAAAAGCCTATACATTAGGTACAGTGTATGCTGCTCAGTAATGGTTGCACCAAAATCTCAGAAATCATTACTAAAGAGCCTATTCAAGAAACCAAACGCCACCTGTTCCCCCCAAAACCTATTAAAATGATAAAGGAAAAAACAAGTAAAAAAATAACAGATGCTGGTGTGGTCGTGGAGAAAAAGGAACACCTATGTACTGTTGGTGGGAGTGTGAATTAGTTCAACCATGTGGAAGTCAGTGTGGTGATTCCTCAAAGACCTAAGACAGAAATATCATTCAACCCAGCAATTCCATTACTGGGTATATACCAAAAGGAATATAAAACACTCTATTGAGCTGCTTAGGAGGCTGAGGTGAGAGAATCACTTGAGCCCAGGAGGTTGAGGTTCAGATCTCACCACCGCATTCCAGCCTAGATGATATTATTATTCTACTCACTAGACCACCAGGGAAGGCAAAGATTATGAAACCTAAATGGCTAACAAACATGTTAGAAGGTATTCAGTCTCGTCCCTCTCCCTCTCCCTCCCTCTCCCTCTCCCCCCTCTCCCTCTCCCTCTCTTTCCACGGTCTCCCACTGATGCCAAGCCGAAGCTGGACTGTGCTGCTGCCATCTCGGTCACTGCAGCCTCCCTGCCTGATTCCCCTGCCTCAGCCTGCCGAGTGCCTGCGATTGCAGGCGCGCACCACCACGCCTGACTGGTTTTCGTATTTTTTTGGTGGAGACGGGGTTTCGCTGTGTTGGCCGGGCTGGTCTCCAGCTCCTAACTGCGAGTGATCCGCCAGCCTCAGCCTCCCTAGGTGCCGGGATTGCAGACGGAGTCTGGTTCACTCAGTGCTCAATGGTGCCCAGGCTGGAGTGCAGTGGCGTGATCTCGGCTCGCTACAACCTCCACCTCCCAGCCGCCTGCCTTGGCCTCCCAAAGTGCCGAGATTGCAGCCTCTGCCCGGCCGCCACCCCGTCTGGGAAGTGAGGAGCTTCTCTGCCTGGCCGCCCATCATCTGGGACGTGAGGAGCCCCTCTGCCTGGCTACCCAGTCTGGAAAGTGAGGAGCGTCTCTGCCCGGCCGCCATCCCATCTAGGAAGTGAGGAGCGCCTCTGCCCGGCCGCCCCTACTGGGAAGTGAGGAGCCCCTCTGCCCAGCCACCACCCCGTCTGGGAGGTGTACCCAGCAGCTCATTGAGAATGGGCCATGATGACAATGGCGGTTTTGTGGAATAGAAAGTGGGGAAAGGCGGGGAAAGGATTGAGAAATCAGATGGTTGCCATGTCTGTGTAGAAAGAGGTAGACATGGGAGACTTTTCATTTTGTTCTGTACTAAGAAAAATTCTTCTGCCTTGTGATCCTGTTGATGGGTGACCCTACCCCCAACCCTGTGCTCTCTGAAACATGTGCTGTGTCCACTCAGGGTTAAATGGATTAAGGGTGGTGCAAGATGTGCTTTGTTAAACAGATGCTTGAAGGCAGCATGCTCGTTAAGAGTCATCACCACTCCCTAATCTCAAGTACCCAGGGACACAAACACTGCGGAAGGCTGCAGGGTCCTCTGCCTAGGAAAACCAGAGACCTTTGTTCACTTGTTTATCTGCTGACCCTCCCTCCACTGTTGTCCTATGACCCTGCCAAATCCCCCTCTGTGAGAAACACCCAAGAATGATCAATAAAAAAAAAAAAAAAAAAAAAAAAAAAAAAAAACACTCTATTATAAAGACACATGTATGTGTATATTCGTTGCAGCGCTATTCACAATAGCAAAGACATGGAATCAACTTATATGCCCATCAATAATAGACTGGACAAAGAAAATGTGGCACATATAAACCATGGAATACTACGCAGCCATTAAAAGGCATGAGATCATGGCCTTTGCAGGGACATGGATGGAGCTGGAGGCCATTATCCTTAGCCAACTAATGTAGAAAGAGAAAACCAAATACCACATATTCTCATTTATAAGTGGGAGCTAAATGATGAGAACACATGGACACATATTGGGGAACAATACACACTGGGGCCTATCAAAGGATGGAGGGTGGGAGGAGGGAGAGGGTGAGGAAAAATAAGTTATGGGTACTAGGCTTAATACCTGGGTGACAATTTATAATCTATACAACAAACCCCCATGACACGAGTTTATCTATATAACAAACCTGCACATGTACCCCTGAACTTAAAATAAAGGTTAAAAAAGACGGCTATCCACAGAAATGACTTTCTCATTTCTGTTAAAAATCAATTGTCTATATATGCATGGGAACATTTCTAGACCCTCTGTTTTGTTTCATTCATCTATTTGTTTATTTTTACACAATATGCTGCACTCTTTTGTTTATTCTAGATTTGTATGTATTTAAATCAGGAAGAACCAGCCCTCCATCTTTGTTTTAGTTAATGTTTTTTGGGATACTTTATGTTCTTTGCATTTCCATATGAATTTTTAAATTAGCTTGTCAATTTTTAGAAAATACACTGCTGGGCCGGGCGCAGTGGCTCACGCCTGTAATCCCAGCACTTTGGGAGGCCAAGGGGCGGATCACCTGAGGTCGGGAGTTCAAGACCAGCCTGACCAACATGGAGAAACCCCATCTGTACTAAAAATACAAAATTAGCCAGGGTGGTGGTGCATGCCTGTAATCCCAGCTACTCAGGAGGCTGAGGCAGGAGAATCGCTTGAACCTGGGAGGTGGAGGTTGCGGTGAGCCGAGATTGTGCCATTGCACTCTAGCCTGGGCAACAAGTCAATACTTAATAGTATTGACTCTTTTGACCTATGATTCTACTAAATAGTTTAATTTCTCTCAGCACTCTTCTGTAGTTTTTAGTACACAGGTTTTTCACATTTTTGTTGAATTTGTTCCCATCATATTTTTGATGCTATATTTTATTTTAAATTTCAATTTTTTTTGTGACTAATATATAGAAACACAATTGGTTTTTATATATGGATCTTGTCAACTTTCTAAACTCATTTTTTTTAGTTCTAGTGGTTCTGTGTAGATTCCAATTAACTTTCTAAACTCATTTTTTTTAGTTCTAGTGGTTCTGTGTAGATTCCACTTAACTTTCTAGATATATGACAATGTCATCCGTGAACAAAGACACTTTTGTTTCTACATCTTCAATCTGGATGTTTTAAAATTCATTTTTATTGCCTGATTGCACTGGCTGGAACCCACAGTACAGTGTTGATTAGAAGTAGTAATAGCAATAGCAGACATCTTTGCCTTTTTCTCTGATCTTGGGAGGAAATCACTCAGCTTTTCACAGTTATGTATAATGTTAGCCAGTTTTGATGTTGTTTTTGTAGATGTCTTTTATCTGGTTGAGAAAGATCTATTCCTAGTTTGCTCAGAGTTTTTTGTTTGTTGTTTTGTTTTTAATCAGAAATAAGTGATAGATTTTTGTCAAATGCTTTTTCTGCATATACCAAGATAATATTTTCTTTTAATTTTTTTCCAGCATTTTAATATGGTGAAATACATTGATTGATTTGTTAATGTTAAACCAAACCTGAATTCCTGGTATAAAATTCACTTTGTCATAATGTATTGTGCTTTTTATATATTGTTGGATATGATTTGCTAAAAATTTTTTTAGAATGTTTGCATCTATGTTCATGAATTATATTGGTCTATGGTTATCTTCCCTTGCAATGTCCTTGCCTGATATTAGCATCAGGTTAATACTGGCCTCACAGAATGAGCTATGCATGTTTCTTCCTTGTCAATTTTCTGAAAAAGTTTATGTTTAATTGGTATAATTCCTTTCTTAAATACTTGGTAGAATTCACCAGCGAAATGATCTTGGCCTAGGTTTTCCTTTGTAGAAATGTGTTTACTATAAGTTCACTTTCTTAAGTAGATACAAGTCTAACTAGGTTATCTCTTCTCGAGTAAGCTTTGGTAATTTGCGTCTTTCCAGAAATTTGTCTATTTCCTTTAAGTGGTCAAATTCCTTGGTATAAAGTTATTCATAACAGTCACTAATTATCCTTTGATTATTTGTGTAAATGTGTAGTGAAATCACCTCTCTCATTCTTGATGTTGGTAATTTATATCCTGTCTCTTTCTGATCACTGTAGCTAGAGGTCTACTTATTTTACTTATATTCTTAGAAAAATTGGTTCCGTTAATTATCACTATTGCTTTTCCATTTTCAATTTTATTGATTTCAATTTTGATCTCTGTTTTTCTTTCTTATTTTAGATTGAATTTACTTTTCATTTTCTAGTTTCTTAAGGTGGAAGTTGAGGTCATTACTATGAGCTCTTTCTTCATTTCTAATGTAAGCATTTAGGCAATAATTACTAACTCGTCCACCCGAAGTACAGTTTTAGTGGCATCAAACAAATTCCAACATATTATCTTTTTATTTTATTAAGTTCAAAATGTTTTGTATTTTATTTTCATCTTTTCTTTCACCTATGAGTTTTTTAGTAGTGTGTTGTTTAGTTTCTGAATACTTACAGATTCTCTAGAGAACTTTCTGCTATGCGTTCTTTTTGTAATTTCATTGTGGCTCATATTTCTATGTGACTTAAATTCTTTTAAATTTATTGATATTTGTTTTTTGATCTAGATTATGGTCTGTCTTAGTAAATGTTTTGTGTACACTTAGGAACAATGTCTCTTCTGCACTTGTGTGGAGTATTTTGTGACATCACTAATATCATTTAGATAAAATTAGTTGACAGGCCTGTTCTTACTGATTTTCTGTCTAGTTTTCTTATTAATTATTGAGAGTGAAATATTAAAATTTCTGACTACAGTTATTGAAATTTACATATTCCTCCTTATATTTGAATCAGTTTTTGCTTAATTAATTTTGAATATCTAATATTAGATGCATCAACATTTAGGGCTTTTATGTCTTCTTGATGAGTTGATCTCTTTATCATTATGAAACTACATTCTTTGCCCCGATAATATTCTTTTCAATGATATCTACCTTGATACTAACATAAAAAGAGATACTAACTCTTTTTATTTAATTTGATATTAATATCGGTAGGGCAGGGAAAGCAAAACCTGCCCACGCACACACGAGCCAGCAAAGCGATGTAGAAGGTTGCCATGGGCCCAGGGAAGTTGCAGTGAGTGGAGGGAGTAAGCAGGCTGGTGCGTGGCTGTGAGGGGCCACCCCGCTGGAGCCCTCTGTCAGCCAGGCATGTTCCACCAGCACAGGAGCTATGGTACAGGTCACCAGGGCACCTGAGGCTGCCCTGAAAGCAGGCACAGCCAGGTTGAAGCCCCAGAAGGGGTCAGTCGACCCCTCAGGTCGGACCAGCCCCGTCTGATGGTCAAGACCGCGCTGTAGAGTTAGGCCCCACTGTTCCCCTAGGGCTAAAGTCTCGTATGGGAGCCAAAGAGAGCCTAGAGGGGTGGCCGTCCCTGGCCATGTCTGCTACAGACGCTCAGCACCAAACGCTCTAGGTTCCGCATCAGCTGGTGTGCTGCCCCTACCACTTCTCGAAGCAGCTCTCCCTGACAACTTAAGTGTCCATGGTGTGGAAGGGTCTCCTGCTATTGTGATTCCAGAAGCCCGTAGTGAGAGCGGGTTGCTAATTTCCGGATCAACTCATCCGTTCTCCCAGGAGTAGTCGTTGGATGTCAGGAAGGAGTCCAGGTGCACAGTAGGGCTCTGCAGGGTACCCAGATTCTTCCTTGAGCTCAGCTTGTGTCTTCCCTCCGTCCACTGTCACTGTCTTCCGGAGATCTATTAGGAGTGTGCCAGTTGTCCGGGTCCCTCGGTGGCAGCTGCATCTAGTCAGCCATCTTCTGCATCTAGTCCGCTATCATCTAGTCTTTTTTTTTTTTTTTTTTTTTTTTGACGGAGTCTCACTGTGTCGCCCAGGCTGGAGTACAGTGGTGTGATCTCGGCTTACTGAAACCTCCGTCCCCTGGGTTCAAGCGATTTTCCTGCCTCAGCTTCCGGAGTAGCTGGGATTACAGGTGCCTGCCACTGCGCCCGGCAAATTTTTGTATTTTTTGTAGAGACCGGGGTTTCACCATCTTGGCCAGGGTGGTCTTGAACTCCTGACCTCGTGATCCACCCGCCTTAGCCTCCCAAAGTGCTGGCATTACAGGAGTGAGCCACTGCTCCCGGCCTCATCTAGTCTTTTTAACAAATGGTGAGGAAACTATTAAATATCCACATGCCAAAAAAAGAAAAAGAAAAAAAACAACTATCCATACTTCACACCATATATAAATATTAACTCAAAATGGATCACAGATCTAAATATAAAACCTAAAATCATAAAACTTCTAGAAGAAAGCATGAGAAAAGTCTCTGTGACCTTAGGCTAGGTAAAGATTTCTTAAATAAAACATCTGAAGTATAATCCATAAGGAATATAACAGTAAATCGGACTTCATCAAAATTTAAAACTCCTGGTCTCAAAATTAAAAAAAAAAAAGTTAAGAAAATAAACAAACTACAGGCTAGAATAAAATATTTACAAATCATATATCTGGCAAAGGACTTGTATTCAGATATAAAGAACTCTCAAAACCCAACAATAAGAAAACAAACAGCCAAATAAAAATAAGCAAAGATTTGAATAGAGACTTTACCAAAATATATATATATACATATATATATATACATTTATATACACAGATGGAAAATACACACAGTAAAACATGTTCAACATTATTAGTAATGAATAACATGGAAATTAAAACTATAATGAGATACCACTGCACAAAGTAGTGTGTAACATGGTGAAAATTTAAAAGACTGACCATACCAAGCATTGGTAAGGTTGTGGAGGAGCTGAAACTCTCATACACTGATGATGGGAATAAAAAAAAAATGGATCTATCAACTGGAAAGCTATTTAGCAGTTTCTTGTCAAGTTAGACATACACCTACTCTATAAGCCAATTATTTCTCTCCTGGGCATTTATCTAAAAATAAAGAACGAGTATGGCGAAACAAAGTCTTGCACATGAAAGTCCATTGAAGCTTTGTTTATAATAGCCCCAAACTGGAAAAATCCAAATGCACATCAACAGGTAGATAAATAAACAAATCTTGGTATAGTCATACAATGGATTATTGCCCAGTAATAAAAAATAAAAGTAATAAAATTAAAAAGCTATGTTACATGCAACAACATGGATGACTCTCAAAATAACTATAGTGAATTAAAGAATCCAGAAAAAAAAAAAAGTACATACCCTATGATTCCACCTATGTGAACTCTAGAATGAGGGTTAATAGACTTTTTCTGTAAAGGGCATGACATTAAATATTTGGAGACCATAGAATTTCTGATGCAACTGCTGGACTCTGGTATTATGGCACAATAGCAGCCATAGACAACACATAAATGAATGAGTGCAGCTGTGTTTCAATAAAACTTTGTTTACAACAACAGGCAGTTGGTCCACAGGCCATGTAGTTTGCCAACTCTTGTCTAGAAAATGCAATTTAATCTACAGTAACAGAAAGCAGACCGGCACTGGCCAGGAAAAAGGTGAGTGACAAGCGGGTAGAAGAGAAGGGGACAAGAGGGAGCTTTTGAGAATAATCCATAAGGTCACTCTTTATTGTGGTGATGGTTTTGCAGGTATATACATAAGTCAAACTTGTCAAATTATGCACTTTAAATATGTGCAGTTTATCGTACATCAGTTATACCTCAAGAAAGCTGGTAACAAAAAGAAAAGAAGTCCAGGGCTATTTTTCATATCCAATTAAAGATTGACAACAGTTGGCATTTTTTATTCAAGCAGCTTCAGCTCTTGTTTTTCTTCTACTATCTAATGTAATGTAGAAATGAATCTCAAATCCAATCACACTTTTTCATACCAAGTTTTTTTTAATGAAGTTCTCATTTGCAGTATGTTAGTCATCACGCTGCAACTCAGAAGGACATTCAGTCACAAACAGAAGTATTTATTATGTAAGAGAGATATTTATGTGTTTACTTGAACTGCACCTGCCAGATACCCCTTCCCTACCCTGTCCCTCACTCTCCTTTCCCCACTTTTGTGTGGCCACACTTGGACTGTGTACAGAAACACAAACAGCTCCAATATTTTCATGGAGCCCTTTACAAATGGGCAAGGGTTATGCTCTACAACTGGAGGCTAGAATGGATGGCAAAGTGGTAGCACCCCTTTGGCCAGGCTCAGGTAGTTTTGGAAGAGCAACGACAGCTGAAGATCGTGGTTTCTGCCATCTATTTAGATCACTGAGCAAGTTTATGAGACCTGAAGCAACCAGCCTGGGACTATGGCTATCCAAGACACAACTAGTTATCCAGGGGACTTAGGTGATCCTCACCCCATCCCTGTTATCCATTCACAACATAACAGGCTGTCCAGCAAACTGTGACATTCTGTTCTAAGGCTGTGTCCTAAAAAGAATTAAGCGTGAGACATACATTCTTTTTTTTTTTTTTTTGAAAGTTCTGGGATACATGTGCAGAACATGCAGGTTTGTTACATAGGTATACATGTGCATTGTTGGTTTCCTGCACCTATCAACCCATCATCTAGGTTTTAAGCCCCACATGCATTAGCTATTTTTCCAAATGCTCTCCCTCCCCTTGCCCCCAGTCCCATGGCAGGCCCTGAAGTGTGATGTTTCCCTCCTTGTGTCCATGTGTTCTCATTGTTCAACTCCCACTTATGAGTGAGAACACATGGTGTTTAGTTTCCTGTTCCTGTGTTAGTTTGCTGAGAATGATGACTTCCAGCTTCATCCATCCTTGACTGTTGGTTAGATTGACTACCAATGGAATTGTCGTTGCCTAATTCTGCCTGGAATGATTTCATTGCAGCCTATTGTGGGGAGTGGTGAGAAACAGGAAAATCCCTTTCCAATTCATTCCAGTGTACACTGCATGGAAACTTGCAAGAATTGATGTGATTTAGTATAAAAGCCCTGGCTGGGGACCCAGATAGACCTGGGTTGGGATCACAGTTCTGCTTCTTACTAGCTGTGTGACTCTAAGGAATTTCTTTAACCTCTCTGTGCTTCAGTTTTCTCATCTTTAAAAGTAGAATAACTACCAGTTTTCTATGAAGATTAAATGAGGTAACGGAAGCAAAGTACTGAATTAAATGTTAGTGATTAATACTATTATCATTTATGAGGCCTCCTTAGAGAAAATGTTCTCTGGTCTCAATAGCAGTAGCAAAAGAGTTTTTCCAAAAGTTGCTTTATTTTTACTTTATGGACCTCATGAGTCTTGTAATTTACTATTTCTTCATTCATGTTGGATTTAATGTGGCCAATATTTAGCAAATGTGCTTATTTTATTGCTTGTTTTGTCTACCCTTCTGTCTCTGGCTCCTCCTATTTTCCTAACATATGGTCATTTTGCCTCATTGTCTTTTTTTAAATGTATTTTATTATGCTGTATTTTATCTATCTTTGCAAGTCATCTTAAATGTTGCGCTGTTGTTGTTTGGTACAGGTTGAGGTATATGTGAACAAAGTAAACTACATAAAATAATAGTTTACATAATCACATTTAAGGATATCTATTTAACATTTTGTTATTTTTTTAATGTTTCCTTATCTTTAAAGTTGGAATAATGATATTATCTATATTATATGACAACCTCAAAGATTAAATAATCCATATGAAGCATTATGCTACTTGCCATATACCTAGTAATCAATAAATGTCAGCTCTTATTACTCTGAAATATGTTATGCTCTTCCAATTCCATTGTTTACTTTCATCTCTTTGGGTTATCAAGCCTCACACCTTCAAATAATCTAAAATCCTCATCAAAGTGCTCCAAATCTTAATTTGTGACACCCTTCTTCTTTCATTCTTGTCTCTGATCTAAATTAACACCTTTCATTTAAAACAATTAAATATCAGACATTGTAAATACAAATTCATCAGGGCCAAAAATAAATATATTTTATGGTGAAAATCACCAACCTCTCATACATCTAGGCATGCTTTGAGTTATTTTAAATGTCTGGGGGCGGAACACAGTACTGATAAGTATAGATTGTTTCTGGTTAATATGGACAGAGCTCATTCAAAGGTCCATTATAAGGGATATTTAGATGGGAGGGGACAGGCACTCCATTTTTATAATGAGATTGAAAGTAGACAGTGGGCAAACTCAGACTGTACTTGTAGTGTCCCTTACGCTAATTTTGTGGATTTCATTGAGTTATTTATCCTCTCTCAACTTGGTTTCTTTATATGTAAAATGAGATCAGTTCACCTTTAAGGTTTTCGTTTGTTTGTGTGTGTGTCTAAGGCAGTTCTGTCCTACAGCAGAGCCTCTCTATTCCAAACCAACAAAACAGTTCTCACTTCTTAATTATTATCTTACAATTCATGCAATAACACAAATAAATTAAAAGGGGAGAAAAAATTTCAAATTGCAATGTTTGTCACATTTAAACTAGAGGTTTATGTATTGTTTCTCTTTCATGTCTAGCAAGCCTACCCTACTTTAGGATGGATATGTCAGTAATAGGATGACTATGGTTCTCAGTTTGCCCATAGTCCTGGTTTATGCCTCGTGTTCTAATGTAATTATGAGTAGCTTCTGCTTTTATTCTCAAAAGCTCCCTGTCTTGGATGATAAATTACATGGTCACCCTAACCAGACAGGACCACTGAAAGTTGTTTTGATAATAGCCACCATTTCTTGTGCATTTAGACACCGGACTGAAACACCTTTCACATATCACATATCTTAATACTTAACAACTCTAAAAGATAAGTACCATTATGACCACTTTCAGATGAAGAAACACTTTCAGAGCTGAGAGTAATTGCAAAGGTAGGTATCTCTGACACCAAAGTCCGTTCATTTATCTTACTGATTGGAGTCAAAGAATCAAAATGTGATAAATGAGCATTTTTACCTATTAGCTGACTTTACAGTGATAGCTAGGTTTACTATTTACAATGAAAACAGAAGAGGTTTGTAGATAAGTTGAATTGTGAAAACTGAAAATGAAAGACTCCATGACATTATTTTTTACTTATTATAGACATTCAACTTTAGATGCCATAAATTTCAGCACTCTTCTATTTTTAAATTCCCAACACTCAAGCATGTGAGATGCTGATGAATTACTCACAAAGTTCTGATTTCCTTAAGTTTAACATATTGTCTGAACACTAATTTTCCTAATACATTTCATTTGTTAAGAGGAATAAAAGAGTAAATAACTTACAATGCCATTGGATAAAAAGCCTCTCTTTCATAGCAAGGGTCTGACTTTTTTCTCTGCTTTTATTGTGCAGTTTTCCTTCTGTACCTTCACTCATTCCAAAGCCATTATTGAGTTTCTATTATTTGAGGTAGTTTTGTAAATCACTTAACAGTGTGTAAAGCCTTTTCACTAACATTGTCCCCATTATTGAAGTTTACCTCATTCTAGGTCAGAGAAACCTCTCTTTTTTGATGGAGAAATTTGAAGCAAGTTTGAAAGTGGAAGAACTAGCCTTCAACTTTCCTCAGGAACACTACTATCATCCCTAAGAAAATGTAGACTAGGACAGGAGATTACCCTGTATTACCAAGTTTTAATTTTTTCTACTAGCAGTATTTTGGAGAAGGCTCTTGTTTCCCATTGTATGTCAAAAACACAAAAGGACACCAAAAGAGAAAAATGACATTGGCTAGCGTGAACTTAGATTCTACCGTAAAAAGGTATTTATTTGAGAATCCTTCTGCTAACATAGATTCCCTTAAAATCTAGCCATTTCTTTTTAATCGAAAGTTGTAACAGAAAATGATATCTGATTTACATTTTAAATTTCCACATAACTATAAACTTTTATAGTGGTGAACAGATGTTGATGTGAATTTTACAAAGCTAAGATATACTTTTCAAATTCATGTCAGAGGAATGTCAAACTGAAACTAGGAAAAGAAGTTCTAAAAGATGAGCAAAATTGCAGTGACTACTAGGACTGCTTTAGTACGATGATATCTTTTTCAACTAACATCCTAAGTGACTAATAGTTCAAAGAAGTCTTCAAGAATGTGAATCTAAGTTTATAGACACAGTTTGAAACCAAGTTTCTAGTTACACTATTAGTAAATATATACACATGTACACACACATATACACAAAAATATATCATAATTACGGGTCCTTATGCACACTGTTGTTATTGGATTTCAAAAAAAAATGTTTAGGTGTTAACTACAAAGTTGTCATGAATTGAGCTTTAATAAATTTTGACGTCCATGATAGCAATCACTTCAAAAAAGAGACTAGCAGTAACTAGTCAGTCCCAGAACAAACACTACTAGATCTGGCCTCTGATAAATCTGATCAAGTCAAAAACATGTGGACATGATAGAGCTGGTATGAACTCAGAATTGACCCCTATTCAGAATTGAGACTAATTCCCACCTCCAGTCCTGCATTCATTTGAATTAATATTAAATTCATAAGGGAAAACTCCCAGGAAGATAGGAGCCAGACAAAGAGATAAACAAGAAGTTTATCTGAAGGGCATTCCAGGAATAGAAAAATAGTCTCTGCTAAACATGTAAAGTATTCAAAATCATTTCATAGGTTCATGTTAAAAACACCAAAAGGAAATTCAGGACAAAAACAGCATCCAGTTTTCTGAACTTTCTTTAAGATTATGAATCTATTAGCCTTTGGCATCTTAAGTCTGAGAAGTTTTGTTTGAATAACATACCAAATTCAGGATTTTCTTACTCCACTGTGTTCCTTCCAAGGCTCAGATTCATTCTGATATATTACAAAAGAGTATGTTGTGGATATATAAAGAAACAGATAGGGGCACCGGATATTGCAGACAGAATATCATCTGTTAACTCATAGATCAATAAGATATAGTAACCAGCTAGGCTCTGTTAATTATGTTTGTCACAGCCTGATAAGACATGTATTGCCCCAGACTATTTTCTATAGCTGGGCACAAACATTCACAGGGGTCCTTGTTGAGGGTTTGAACTTCCACTTAAAATCTCTATATAAAATCCCTAATAAGCAAAATAATTAAATAAGACTTGAACTAACTTCACACTTTAATGCCATTTTATTGGGTGTTCTATTTTACTTCCACTTGTGGTTTAATAATTTCCTGTTCTCCCTGCTCATGGCCAAGGAGTCATCTCACGGTATTTACCAGGCATTCATTGGTCCTGAAGGGTTGCCATAGTCTTGACACACAAGTCATAAAGCATCTATGCGGAAGCAAATGGTACTACAACTGCTGCTATTTTACATACAGCAAGAATCACCCAAGGGGCTTAGAACAAATATAGCATTGTACAATGCAGGGCAGCTGGTTGGCTAAATGTGGCCCCCAGCTGTCAGTGAGACAACTGATGATAATTAATTACTAGAGATTCAGAATGAGTCCGCCTGTGTGTAAGTCCCTGGTCATAGGACAGGCTCTCTAGGAAGGTCTGCTCTCATTTTTTCAGGCCACTGGGGAAAATTCTGGGCATGAAGGCAGAACAGATATATCAGCAGTGTGGATTTATCTCAAATCTGGTGGTAAAATAAATCTGTGGAATGTGAATTATATATTTTTTACATTAAGAGGAGTTGGTTAAATGAAGAACTGAATGAACTCATTTTATTGAAGTTGATCTTTACGTTTATTTCATATACTTACATGTAAAATTTTTTAATAAAATTTTAAAGTACATAAAAGCACCAATGGAATGCAGGGGAAGTCTTTGGTTAGTTTAAAAAACAGTTGTGTAACAATAAAAAATGGCTAAAAGACTTCCTCTCAACAGAAACCTGTAATTGTGTATTTCTTAAGGCTTTCTGATCCTTTGTGAGAGTTCTGTCCTGTACTGACTTTGAGCCTCTACATGCACTTTTCAACAGTATCTCCAAGATTATTGGTCTCCCATCTCTTGAGGGCCATGCAGAAATCTAGGATGGCTCTGGGCATCTTTAGATATGGCCACAGGACCACTGAGATTGTCACACAATTTTGAGCCATTGTTTGTAAATGCCTGCTACAAAAAAATTATTTTCAGTGATCGCTTTATTGAATATTTGTGCATATGCATGCATGTGTTGTGAGCAACTTTCATATACAAATTACTCCTGGTCTCAGCATAGAAAATGCAAGACCACCTTTTCAACGTATAGGAAATGTGCGTGTTCCTTTTGCTTTGATACAATATGATTATCATCTTATAGGCCACATTATGTTAATTGTATATATCTTTTCAGGACCATTCTCAACTGTGGGAGACAAAAGCTTTGCAAAGAACTGAGTGTTAGTTGTACTATGACACGCTGGGCATGGTGGCTATCACTTGTAATTCCAGCACTTTGAGAAGCTGAGTTGGGAAGATAGTTTGAGGCCAGGAGTTTGAGACTAGCCTGGACAACACAGCGAGACCCCTTCTCTACAAAAAAATAACAAAAATTAGCCAGGTGTGGTGAAGCACATCTGTAGTCCTAGCTACCTGCTGGGCTGAGGCAGGAGGATTGCTTCAGCCCAGGCATTCGAGGTTACAATAAGCAATGATTATGTTGCTGCACTCCAGCCTGGGAGACAGAGCAAGACTCTGTTTCTAAATATATATATGTGAATTATATATGTTTTCACATATATATACACACACACACACACACAAAAATATATATACATATAATATATATAATACATCTATCATATAATAGATATTATATATAGTATTATCATATATAGTATCATATGACATGTTCTCATGTATCTATCATAGATATTATATATAGTATACATAGTATTATCATATAGTATTATCATAGATATATATGGTATATCATACATTATTTCTAGTATTATATAGGATTATCATATGATATTATAACATATCATTATATACACAAATATACTACAATAATATTAAGGGAAAATAAAGAAAATATGTTTTAAAATATTCTCTCTTTTTCAACCAGGCAACAAAAACAGAGTAGAGTGTTGTTTTATTTTGCTTTGCTTTTACAATTACCTAGCTGGGATTTTCTCAAGTCAAGGCAGAAAAAATAATCAAAAATAAAGGTAATTTACAGCCACTCCAACAAGACTATAAACTTTGTTGGGCAAGCGTTATGTCCATTCATTTTCATCTCTCCCTTTAGGTCCTGCATAGACTTGCTCTCTGGGATATTAGTGCATGAGATATTAGAGACTAAATACAGGAAAATATCTTTATGAAGCATTTCATACTGTCAGGAAAGGTTAAATATCCTGTATAAAAAATAAATTGCTCTCAATTCACCACCAGGATCACTGCCATGGACATCACCATAATATCGTGGCAGTGTTATTTGGTTCAATTCCTACTTTTCTCTTCCTCAGTAGGAGAACAGGAAAATTATTTGCACTTGAGATTTGTTCTGAAGCTTGCCTTGCTTTATAATATGTTCATTTTATTTTTCTTTTATTTAAAACAGATATACATCTACAATAACTTTGCAGTAAAGCACAATAAAATTAGAATTTTAAAAGCCAAAATAAAACAATAAAACAATGAAAAGAAATAAACAATTATAAAATAATTGTAGTAATTTAAATAATAAACAATAATAAAACAATAAAAACCAAATTTTTATGGGCAACTAAGATGCAAATTTAAACAGTTTCTCATTTCTCTCTCTCTTTTTTTTTTTTTTTTTTTGAGACAGCCTCACTCTGTTGCCCAGGTTGGAGTACAGTGGCGTGATTTTGGCTCACTACAACCTCCACCTCCTGGGTCAAGCAATTCTCACGCCTCAGCCTCCTGAGTGGCTGAGATTACCCGTGTGCATCACAACATCCGGCTAATTTTAGTATTTTTAGTAGTGCTGGCCAGGCTGGTCTCAAACTCGTGACCTCAGGTGATCTGCCTGCATCGGCTTCCCAAAGTGTTAGGATTACAGACATGAGCCACCACACCCGGCCCTCATTTCTCTTTATACAACAATTCAGTTGTTGTACAGACATTAAACAAGAAAAAATATTAGAACCAGGATTTATCAAGAAAAAGTGTTAGGATGTATTTTTTTGCCAGATTGATAAATATTTGAAAGGAATAAAACAACACAAACCATTCCATTTCATTTAGATTTGCTGTAATACAAGAAAAGAATTTTTTAGTCTAATTTTATTTTGGTATTAGCAAATAAATAATTTATACTAATAATTTTTTAACAAATTATACTAAAATTCATGAAATTATGAAATTACGTGGTGGAATATTTTGCTTAGAATGAAGATATTATGAAGGGGATTTTTTTTCATGCTATTAATGAAAAGCTTTTTTCTTGTAAATTTGTTTAAGTTGTTGATTCTGTGTATTAGCCCTTTGGCAGATGGATAGATTGCAAAAATTTTTCCCATTCTGTAGGTTGCCTATTCACTCTGATGACAGTTTCTTTTGCTGTGCAGAAGCTCTTTAGTTTAATTAGATCCCATTTGTCAATTTTGGCTTTTGTTGCCATTGCTTTTGGTGTTTTATTCATTAAGTCTTTGCCCATGCTTATGTCCTGAATGGTATTGCCTAGGTTTTCTTCTAGGGTTTTTATGGTTTTAGGTCTTACATTTAAGTTTTTAAGTCTTACATTTAAGTTTTTAATCCTTCTTGAGTTAATTTTTGTATAAAGTGTAAGGAAGGGATCCAATTTCAGCTTTCTACATATGGCTACCCAGTTTTCCCAACACCATTTATTAAATAGGGAATCTTTTCCCCATTGCTTGCTTTTGTCAAACAAACAACCCCGTCAAAAAGTGATGGCTCACACCTGTAATCCCAGCATTTTGGGGGGCCAAGGTGGGCGGACCATGAGGTCAGGAGTTCGTGACCAGCCTGGCCAACATGGTGAAACCCCGTCTCTACTAAAAATACAAAAATCAGCTGGGCATGGTGGCAGGCACCTGTAATCCCAGCTACTTGGGAGGTTTAGGCAGAAGAATCGCTTGAAACCGGAAGCTGGAGGTTGCAGTGAGCCAAGATCGTGCCACTGCACTCCAGCTTGGGCGACAAGACTGAAACTCTATCTTAAAAAAAAAAAAAAAAAAGTGGGCAACGGACATGAACAAACACTTCTCAAAAGATGACATTTATGCAGCCAATAAACATATATAAAAAAGCTCATCATCACTGGTCATCAGAGAAATGCAAATCAAAACTACAATGAGATACCATCTCATGCCAGTTAGAATAGCAATCATTAAAAAGTCAGATCATTAAAAAGATCATTAAAACAACAGATGCTGGAGAGGATGTGGAGAAATGGGAATGCTTTACACTGTTGGTGGGAGTGTAAATTAGTTCAACCATTGTGGAAGGCAGTGTGGCAATTCCGCAAGGATCTAGAACCAGAAATACAATTTGACCCAGCAATCCCATTACTGGGTATATACCCAAAGGATTATAAATCATTCTACTATAAAGACACATGCACATGTATGTTTATTGCAGCACTGTTCACAATAGCAGAGACTTGAAACCAACCCAAATGCGCATCAATGGTAGACTGGATAGAGAAAATGTGGCACATATACACCACGGAATACTATGCAGCCATAAAAAAGGATGAGAATGAGTTCATGTCCTTTGCAGGGACATGGATGAAGCTGGAAACCATCAACAAAGTAACACGGGAACAGAAAACCAAACACCACATGTTCTCCCTCATAAATGGGAACAATGAGAACACATGGACACGGGGGGGTAACATCACACACTGGGGCCTGTTGGGGGGTGGGGGGCTAGGGGAGGGATAGCATTAGGAGAAATACCTAATGTAGATGATGGGTTGATAGTGCAGCAAACCACCATGGCATGTGTATACCTATGTAAACTTGCACATTCTGCACATGTATCCCAGAACTTAAAGTATAATTTAAAAGTAAAAATAAAAATAAATAAAAGCTGCCCTGTAAATAACTTGTCGGAAGAAATTTTTTTCTCATATTCACTGTGTGATACAGAACTACCAAGTAGATGCTCATGAGAATTTCTATACTAATTTGCTTTTTTTCTTTGGATTCTGTTTCTAGAAAGAGCCTTGACCGGGCACGGTGGATCAAGCCTGTAATACCAGCGATTTCTGGGGCCAAGGCGGGTGGATCACGTGAAGTCAGGAGTTCAAGACCAGCCTAGCCAACATACTGAAACCTTGTCTCTACAAAAATACAAAAAAATTAGCCGGGCATGATGGCGGGTGCCTGTAATCCCAGCTACTCGGGAGACTGAGGCTGGAGAATCGCTTGAACCCAGGAGGCAGAGGTTACAGTGAGCTGAGATTGAGCTACTGAACTCCAGCCTGAGACTCCATCTCAAAAAAAAAAAAAAAGAAAAAGAAAAAGAAAGGCCCTTAATGATACCTATTTTCCACTCACTTGGTGTGAACATAATTTATCCTGGACAAAGGAATAACAGAGAAATTTCAATAATTTTTATTGCTACTTATCTCTTAAGGATTGGTTAAAAAGCTGTAGTCAAATAAAATTTAATTATAGTGCTAATTAACTCAAGAAATGGAGAAGGAATGCTACAAGGGGAAAGGAGTAATGCGGTGGGACAAAAAGAAAAAAGGAAGGAAGAATGATAATGCATGGGAGAAGCATCAAGGAAGAAAAGAAGAGGAACTGAAGTTGAAAGATAGAGTAAAGGTGGAATTTTGTGGAGTTGCACTTCATTCATCAGTTAGAAATATGAAACCTTCTAAGGAACGGCCCAAAAAATCTTTAACAAAACATAGCATGAATGAATGAATGAATGAATGAGTATCTTAATGGAAGGGTAGGTTCAAATTATTTTCAAATACCTTTTGGCGGGTTCAAATTATTTTCTTCCAATATAACCACAAAGCATTCTAATAAATGACTTTCCCTAAATTCAACCTTTTAGTTTCATTGAGTAACCTGGAAAAAGGCTGAGGATGATTGTCTTCCAGACAAATTATAATCTATTTACTGTGAAGATTCCTATCTCCTGGGCTTTGAATACTTACATAAATAAAATAAGAGGTAGCCCCTGCTCTAGTATATATGGAAAAGGTCATACACACACACACACACACACACACACACACACACACATATATATACATATATATATACACACACACACGTATATATACACACACATATATATAAAACAACCTAAGAACATTTACCAAAATATAATTCAGAAAATGAGCAAATCTCTCAATGCTTTCAGAATGCAGAGTAAAGATGGAGAAAGCTCTGAGATCAAGTCTTTGAAAAGAACTGGTGGAGTGGAAGGGAAACAACAGGTAGGAATGTGCAAATTAGAAAATTATTTCATAATCATGTCTTTATCACTGACTAGAGCATAAGGCCCAAGGGGGATAATAATGTGAAAATGAGTAGTGGACATCTGTCATTTCTGACCGTCCAGGATTCTATTCCCCTTTTTTTCTTATTAGCATCTTCATTTTCCTGTGGAGAAACACCCTTCCCCTACTTCTGATTGCAGTGTTTTGGGTGAAGCTAAGCCTCATGAGAGGATGTCCACTCAAGCCAGCCACTGAGAACAGCACCCCCCAGACATCCCAGGGATTAGTTCAAGGATGGGCATGTGACTGAAACTGACAGTCAGATAGGAACAATAGCAGGATGTATTTGAAGAGTTTTCGGAAAGACATTTTCTTTCATCTGGTTCTACTCAACTAGTACAATGTCAACCTGGAGCATCTACTGGTGACCTTTGCCACCATATGGGGACACCCTGTCTGAGAAAGAGGCCAATACAAGTGAAAAGAATGACCATATATAGAAAAAAAAATTCCTGACAACCTTTTTTTGTGATCCCTGAATTCAACTATACCTAAATTTCAATATCCTTCAGAACTTTAAATTATGTGAGCCAATAAATCGCCTTTTCTGCTTAAACCCATCATAATTAAGTTTCTGTTATTAGCAACCAAAAGAATCTTGACTGATACAATAAAATGTATGAGAAGGAGAAGATGGAGGACTTTCAGTTCTAATCTGAGGCACAGGAACAAAAAACCCAGGAATGTAGGTAAGTCTCACATGTTGGTAGGAATAGGGTCAGCCTAAGTATTCGAAAGTGCAAAGGGTATAGAAAATTTTTCATTCAAATTCTCACTCTTTAATGAGCAATGCAAACCTGAGCAAATAATTCAACCTTTAGGGGCCTTAATATTCTCATCTGTAAATAGGGATAATAATATCTACCCTGGAGGATATTTGTGACTACAAAATGGGATAACATACATGTGAGAACACAGTGGATACTCAGTAAAGACTATTCCCCTATTTCATTCCCTGCTGGAAATGTTATCAGAATTTAGATAGCAGAAGTTACACTATTTCTGGGAATTCAAGTTACTTTCCAAATGCCCCAGTGCAACCCATCCTCCCATGCTCATACTGAAAGTTTATATCCTTTCCCACCACAGTCTATCCTATCCCTTCTCAATGCAATTTCATTCATAAGATGCTATATCAACCAAGAAAGTTTATATTTTAAGGAGGGTCACATAAGAATGAAAACACTTAAACCTGTAAGAATGATTTTCTAAAGTAGACATTTTAAGCATGTTGAGGAAAGTTTGTTGAGACAAGGAATTAAGTTCATCTAGATGCTAACATAGCATGTGAAAAAATGTAGTTCACAAATCAACCCACATATATATACTATTTTTAGATTTAGAGAAAACTGATTATCAGGAAATAAGTCAGCCTTAAAGCTGTATGTAATGGAGTTACAGAATAAAGTATGTTGCACATTTAGACATAAAAAGAATACCACTAAAAGTGGAATAAATCAAAATATTGAAGTAAATACAATCTAGCATCACTTAACGACAGAAATGAAAACTAAGACAAAAACTAAAGACAAAAACAAAGACAAAAGCACACACATTAGCTCAGGCCTACATAGGGTCAGGATCATCAATATTACTCTCTTCCTCCTCCACAACTTACTTTCCAAAAGGTCTTTAGGGGCAATTACATGCACAGAGCTGTCATCTCCTATGATAACACTCCCTTCTTCTGAAATATCTCCTGAAGGACTTGCCTGAGGCTGTTTTACAGTTAACTTGTTTAGGTAAGTAAAAGGAGTACACTCTAAAATAATGATTAAAAAACATAGTATAATAAATGCATAAACCAGTAAAATATTTATTATCATTGTCAGGTATTAGGTACTGTACATGATTCTGTGTGCTATACTTTTATATGACCGGTGGTGCTGCGGGTTTGTTTACATCAGCATCACCACAAACACTTGAGTAATGCATTGCACTATGATGTTACTATAGCTACAGTGTCACTAGGCGATAGGGATTTTTAGCTCTATTATAATTTTATGGGACCACTTTCATATACGTGGTCCATCACTGACTGAAATATTGTTATTTAACACATGGCTGTATTGAAAACAACGCTATAATTTTAAAATCGTTTCTCCTGTCTCACTTCTCCCCCACCCTTTTGACCCAAAACTGTCTTTAGCTGACAAAACTGTACTGAACAGCCTCTGGCAAAGGTACCAGTGTCTCTTAATGCCCGAATGGAATGGACTCTTTGCTGACCTACGTTGTCTGACTTCTCTTGAACTAGTACACTGCACACTACTCTCATCCTGCAACTCTGTCTACCCATTTCCCTATTACACTCTTGCCTGGTTGTCTTCCTTGCTCAGTCTCTTTAATACATTCTCCCTTTACAGGAGCTGTATTAGTCCGTTCTCATGCTGCCATTAGGTTGGTACAAAAGTAATTGTGGTTTTTGCCATAACTTTCAATGGCAAAAACCACAGTTGCTTTTGTATCCAGTATAGATAATATAAAGATACTACCCAACACTGGGTGATTTATAAACAAAGTAGGTTTAATTGACTCACAGTTCCACATGGCTGGGGAGGCCTCAGGAAACTTAACAATCATGGTGTAAGGGGAAGCAGACACCTTCTTCACAAGGCAGCAGGAGAGAGTGTGAGCATGTGAAGGAGGAACTGTCAAACACTTATAAAACCATCAGATCTCATGACAACTCACCCACTATCACCAGAACAGTATGGGGGAACTTGCCCCATGATCCAATCACCTCCTTCCCTGGACATATGGCGATTACAACTCGAGATGAGATTTGGATGGGGACAGAGAGCCAAACCATATCAGGAGCTAATTGAGCTTATACATTCAGTTGCTACTTACTTGCTGATGAGTCTCAAATCTATATGTCCTGATTAAGATCTTTGAATGGAATGAAGGACATTTTCACCTGGATTCTCCATGGACTTCAATAACAGATTCTTAAAATTCTTCTCTTTCTCCTGCATCTTTCTGTGTGTGTGTATAGCATTTCCAGGCACCACGTGCCCTCTGGGACACTTGGGAGTCAGCCTAGATTCCCTTCTCTTTCTCAGCCTAACACCCAAGCAGTCAATGAACAAATCTATAAATTTACCTGCTAAACCATTTTGTGTCTGTATCATATCTCCATTCTTTTGCCTCCCTTTTATTTTTAATTTAGGCTTTACCTCTCACCAAGAAATATACTGTACTATAATATATTGCCTCTAATCTTATACTCCCCCTATTCATTCTCTATATCACTGCTACAATATTTTGTTTTTCTAGAATGTAAAACCATTCGTGTCCCCTCTGTCCATCTGTTTTATATCTTCCTGACTTTTCTCCCTATCTCAAATGCCTTGCCACACTTTAACCATTGTGATGAGTCTCAAATCTCATCAGCAGATTTTAGTGACTCTAATTTATCTGCAAGCCTCATCTTCTGACATCTCCACTATTAACCTTTTGATGACCACTCTCCCAGTTTTACACCAACCCACTCTGAAAGGACATCTTCTCCCATTGCGTCTTTAACACTTTGTTACATTTGGTTAGGTATCTGTTTTTCCTACTTCATTTGTGAGACAGACAGTTTGAAAATGTGAAATGTATAATGTTCATCTCTGTAGATAGATGAAAGGACTTGGTGCACAGTAGGTGCTTAATAAATATTTACTGAAAGAATTATTACATTTTTACAACTTGTATGCATGACATACAGAGAGAAACTGTAGAGAAACTTGAGCACAAACAACACAATGACTGGGTAAACAACTAGTACCAGGTGCATCTTGTAGCCATAATTCAAGTGGGTAACACAGATGGCTTCTTATCAGAAAAAGAAAAGGTGAAGTAGAAACTTTACTCCTAAGAGAACATACATAACATACTATGGCAGATAGTATTTTTCCAAAATATCATTACAAGATCTCCCATCGCATACGTTCTTCTGTGATCTGAATTTGCCACTCCTCTATCGAGAATTAGTCTCTCCACTTTACTGAACTTAGATGGGCTCTGTGACAGCTTTAACCAAAAGAATGTGACAGGTGTAATGCTATGCCAATTCTGGGCATAATCCTTAACTGGCCTGGTGAATTGTTTCTTGCTTCTTCGAAGCTAGCTACCATATATGAGGTACACTACTAGACCACATTCTTTAAAAAGCCAAATCACATGGAGAGGAAGTGAAAAGTGTGAAAGCATGGAGAGTGAGGCACCTGACTATGAATGCAGAGGTCATCTTAGGCACCAGCCCACTTAAGCCTTCAGATGACTCCAGACCCTGGTGCCATCTATTTACAACAGCATAAATGATTCCAAATGAGAAATGCCTACAGGTGCTCAGTCAACACACAGAAGCAGAAAGAAATAACAAATTGATGTTAAGAAAAAACAAATTTGGAGGCGGTGTGTTATACCAATAAATAACTAAAACACAAAATTGGTTCTCAATTTTTCTCTAACATTGTTAGAATTTCTATATTGAGTAATTTGTAATAGAAGCTAGCTTTCAAATACCTATCAACTTCATGAACACAATGAAAATTTAAGGGCAATAGCAATAAAAATATAGCAATATCTGAAGATATTTTTAACTGAAAATATTTATTGTCTTTAACAAAAACACAGAAAAAAATCCTAATATCTACTGATATTGAACTGCTTAAAATAATTATATGTCCCCTTAATAGAACATCATATATTATAAAATGAATGTCTTAGTCCTGTACAAATGGGCATGTAATGATGCCAAAATAATAAATTAAATTGAAAAACAGTATACACAATGTGAACCCCATCATTAAAGTAGCATATATTTATTTTTTAAATTCAGAAAAATAATGTAAACATGTATCTATAAGGACATAGTTACCTCTGAGAAACTGATTTACAGTAAAGACTGTAATTTTGCCATATTTATGTCATATTGATTAAATACTTTTGTAGTTAATATGTATCATAATTTTTGTAAGAAAAATACCAATCTGTAAAAATATTAAATGTCTAATTTGTCCCTCTACTATTCTCCTCTCAAGATGGCCTTATCTAGCTTCTTAAGTTAATGTATGTCTACTCTTGTTCATCTGCACCTTAACAATACCATAGAATTTTAGGGTGTATATCATGTTATTATTATTGAGTGAACTTATTTGACAATTCCAAATCCAAATTGTGTAACCTGGCAATTGAGGCCTCCACAATTTTTTTCTCAACTATTGATACATTTTTTTCCAGTTTTTTAAATGTTTGATTCCAGCTGAACAAAACTACCTCTGTTTCCAGAGCTGTACCCTGTCTTTTCTGCATCTGGACAACTCATGCTGTTCTCCTCACCCGGGTTGTTTCCTCCAGGGTCATGTAGTGCCCACCCAGCACTCAGCCTTCAGAGCCAACTCTGTTCTGTGTTTCCCTCATTAGAAATCACCTAGCCCTTTATCCGCTTTTTCTTTGTGCTTGCTACTCTCTACCTTGTATTTTTTTGTGAGTATTTTATTTTACTTTTAACTGATGTTTTGAATATTTAATTCACATAGTTAGAAGTTGAAATGTATTTTAAAATATACAATGAACAATCTCCCTCTCCAAATACACTGTTCTCAGCCTTTATTTAACCAATGATTTGCTTTCTCATGATCCCTTGCAGGGGTGTTTTGTGTACATACAAGCACACACACACTTATTTTCACCGCTTTTCACACAAAACTCTACATGTTGTCCTGCACTTTGCATTTTTCACTGAACAAATTTACCCATTTGACCGTAAATATTACAGAGCATTCTATCATATGTCATGAACTGTTCTAGGTATTGGAGGAATAAAAATAAACAAAAGAGATCAAAAAAATTCACCCTCATAGAGTTTACATTCTAGTGAAGGAGTTAGACAAGAAACAAAATAAATATAATGTACAGCATGTTAGATGAAACATGCTAAGTATAAAATTATAGTAATAAAGCAGAAAAATGGAAAATAATATTGTAGGGGGTAACATTTTAGATGAGGTGACCAAGAAAGTCTTTACTGAAAAGCCACTTTTAAAATAACATTCTGAAGGCAGTCAGGGTATTAACCATGTGTTAATGGGGAAATAACATTTTAGGCAGAATGAAAAGGTACAAAAGCATGAAGTGTATGGTTGGTGCTGGGAAGAGTAAAAAGCCTGTTGTGTTTAGAGCAGAGGAAAAACTGACCACTATCCATGTTTTACTTACATTTGAATCTAAAAGTTTATATTATTTAATATAGTTAGTATGCATGGTTTACCTCAGTTTTTTCCTATGCTTAACCCAAAGCCTTATAAATAGTAACTATGCACAAGATGTTAAATAAGTGGATATATGTATAAGAAAATGCATGAATTAATAAATGATGCATAATCTAAGACCAATGATATTTACTAGATTCAGGGTCTTTGCACTTGCCACTTCCTCAGCCTGGAATGCAGTATGGAATCCTCCATACCCATGTGACCAGTACCCTCAAGTCTCCAAGATCCTTACCTAATAGCCACTTCTCAGTGGGAACATTGAACATCTCATCTAGAATTAACCAATCAACAAAAGTAAGAAAATAAAGAATAAAAGAACAATGAATAGCTCTGTTTAGGCTCCTGAACTAGAGAACTTTGGCATTGCTGCACAAAATTCTAGAGAGCTAATATGGAGGAGGAAAGTACATATGAAAACAGGCATAGCACAAAGGATCCTCAATCCTTCCACCATGAGGGTCACGTGGATGTGCTTTGTTAGTTATCAGGAACTATAGATTATTTGTTAGGTGGTAGTTTAATGTCTATGACGTACTGACAGGCATGATCCAGTTTTCTCAAATAGGTGTCATCTCATGACAAATAAATGAGCTTGGAGGTGTTTCTCAGTATGACTGAAGGAGATCGAAATGCAACACTTCCCATTTGTCTTTTACATGCCACATGGATCCATTTTCAACCTTTTTAATGAGCCTTGTATTTATTAAAATATGATAAACTAGGACCCTTGTAGATAATATTTCAGAAAGAGGAACAACTGCTGAATTTTAAAACCAAATACATAATAGACAAAGAATGTAAAATTCCTAATAAAACTCCAGTTTCAGGGTTTTGGGGGTATGTCTCCACCAAGAACAGAGTGTGCTGAATCTAATTTGCTGTATCATTGCCAAATCTGACTCTGGTTTTATATTAATTGAAATGGATGCTTTATGAAACAAAGACCTACATTCTGAAAATTGTTTTCCATGTGATGTGCATTAAGGAAACTTGTTCCATAAGCGCATCTGGTCCTGGCTCATCATGCTGTGAGGAGAATCTATGCACCATCTCAGTGCTCTAACATTAAAACTTTAAGAAGACCTTGCTTCCCTAAACTTATTCAAAGACAATTAATGTCAATATTTTCAAACCTTTTAAAACCCTCCTTTTCTTGACATGCATCTTATATTGTTGCTCTTATTGTTTCTCATCAAGTCATAGACGAGTGCTGAAAATACTGCTCCAATTTCTTCAGCATGTCTCAAGCATAACATACTATTTTTCAACAGATGCTACAAAAGCCCTCATTGATCTCCCAGGCATTTAATACATAGACGAAAGCCAAAATTGTGCCTGTAGTTGTACATTCTTAAAGCACTAGTTTACATAGATGTTTATAGGCTCTTCCATTTTACTACTCTGAAAAGAATACTTCTTAATTTTAAAATCTACTGCAAGGAAAATTATGATATAGAAACTTAGAATCATTTTCTTTATATTCTAATATTGTAGCACATTCCTACCCTTTTGAGATTTATTTTGTGACCAAAAGTTGTTTCCAATATTTTCTGTATTGACATTTAAGACAAAATATATGGGATGTGCTAAAATTATATATCTTTATTTGATTTCTATTCATTGCAAGTACCTAGTCTTAAAAGATTAAAACAAATGTAAATGTGAAATAAATGTTTATAAGTGACTTTATAAGCATATAAGTTATTTAAAACAGGAAAATAATTTCATTTGGAAAGAGCATTAAAATGATCAGACATACAAGGAAACAAAATGTATGACTTTATGGAGGGATAAACTAGAAATTCAGAAAAAAGCAAAAAAGTAAAATAGATTTTTAGTCTCTGTGGATAAATAACTAAAAATATATAGTAGCAGAAAACATTGAAATTACTTTAGATTTTACTTATATTTTTAGTTTAAGAAATATTTCTGATTTTTTCCTTATCCTTCAAACTTTAAACAGAAGTTTCATAAACAAAATTACATTTGCCAAATATTAATTATTTAATTGCCAAGATTTATTCAGAAAGCAGAAATAATCATTGAATCATGAGGACAGCTTCATAAAATTTTTGCTAATACATCCAGTTACAGAATGTGGTTTTCTGATACACCGTATGTTTCTGTAAAATATTATTAAAATATGAATTACTAAATGAAATAAAATGAAATAAATTGACAAAAAGCATGCTATGCTCAATTTCAACATAAGGTGAGCACATTTTGCCAAAGCCAGATGAAAGGGTGAACCCTCAAGAACATTCAGAATGAACTAGCCTATTCAGACATCTGAAACCTAAACCTGCTTCACATGAGCTGCTCCATAGCACGTTAGCCAGGGGTATTTACTAAACACCTGGTTAATCCAGGGTTTAAGGACTTTGGCAACTTTCTGCTGTCTCCCTTTATTTAACCAACATTCTTTTTTTTTTTTTTTTTTTTTTTTTTGAGATGGAGTTTCACTCTTGTCACCCAGGCTGGAGTGCAATGGTGCAATCTTGGCTCACTGCAACCTCCACCTCCTGGGTTCAAGTGATTTTCCTTCCTCAGCCTCCCAAGTCACTGGGATTACAGGTGCCTGCCACCATGCCCAGCTAATTTTTGTATTTTTGTTTTAGTAGAGATGGGGTTTCACCATGTTGGCCAGGCTGGTCTTGAACTCCTGACCTCAGGTGAGCCACCTGCCTCAGCCTCCCAAAGTGCTTGGGGTTACAGGTGTGAGCCACCTTGCCCTTAACCAGCATTCTTAAACATCTACCAGTGCCAGTCACTCTACTAGCTCTGGGAGTGCAGTGGTAAACAAGTTTGAAAAGGTCACTGCTATTAAGGAGTTAACATGCTAGTGAAAAACCCAGTAATGATTAAGACATACAAATAAAGAAACAAGGTAATTACAGGTGGTAATGAAGGCTATGAGGAAAATAAAAGTGTCCTGAAATAGTTACTAGAGGAGCTCATACTTTAGATCTGGTGATCACAGAAGGTAACATTTGAATGGAGATCTGCATGATGACAAGACCAAGGAAAGATGGAGGCAAGAGCATTCTAGAACATAATAAATAGTGAAGAAATTTGGATGCAATGTTAGCTTGTCTGGAAAACAAAAGTAAATAAGCAACTTCCAATTTTGGCTATCATGGTCCAATGGGTATCATAACTCATAATGTAAATAACTATAAAACCTGACACAACTAAGTAAAGCAACAGTTTTCAGCCATTGCACAATTAATAGTACATGGCCATCAACCTTGACAGCAAGAAAACATGGGTAGAGCACCATACCTACCCTGGCTTTCTGCCTAGGGCTACTCTCAAAATCGTAGTACAGAAAAGGACAGTTCCAACAGACAAGAGAGGTCTAGCTAGGTAGAGGACTTAGAATTCAGGGCTGCTAAAAAGGCTAGAATTTGTCAGACCACAAAGTGATGGAAAAAAACTGCACAGAAATCTGCATAAAGGCCCCCTTGAGTCTAGCTAAATACTAAGCTATGCATGTCCATGTAGGCAATATTCCATAAGCCTTGGCACAAAACAGCTTCTGGGATTCAGGAGCTGAAAACACATTCTGGAGATTTCACAGTGCTGTTAGATGTTGGAGTTCCGACCATCCTTTGTAGAGAGAGATATTTCTGAACCTGCTGAATACTCAGTTGAGATACCAATAAGAATACACCTTACAAATGAGCTCGTCTAACCTTAGAAGAAGAACTACTCTAGAATTGCCTTAAAAAAACAAGAAACAAGACTTTATGAGTTCAAGAAGATCCTTCAATAAATTCACTGCCTTCCAGAAGAAGACCCAACTCTATTAAATGAAGATAACACAACTGAGATTCTCAATAATGTAGCCTCCACAGCCTATAGTAAATAACATTAACTTTTAAAATTATGAGGCAAACAAAGACCTAAATGTGACTAAAACTAGGGGGAAAATATTAGTCAATAGAAAAAAATTATAGAAATGACACCAATGTTGAAATTAACAGATAAACTCATTTAAAAAAGTATTATAAATATGTTCAAGAATTTAAAGGAAAAGATGAACATGTTGAGTGAACAGATGAGGGATCTCAACAGAAAATTAGAAATTATATTTTAAAAATAGAAATTATAAAACTGAAAAATAAAATATCTGAAGTGAAAATTTTATTAAACACAAATCAAAGATACCAGAAAAAAAATCAGTGAGCTTGAAGGCAGATCAATTAAAATAAATCCTAATTTAAGTGCAGAAATAAAACATTCTTAAGAGAAAATGAACAGAATCTCAGTGACATGAGAATAATGCCAAGTAGTCCAACATACTTGCAAGGACAAGCAGAGAAGAGGGAAAAATGGGCAGAAAACAAATAATAGTCCAAATATTCTCAAATGTGATTTTTTAAGATATTAATCCCGGCAGGGTGTGGTGGCTCACACCTGTAATCCTAGCACTTTGGGAGGCCAAGGCAGGTGGATCACGAGGTCAGGAGATCAAGACCATCCTGGCTAACACAGTGAAACCCTGTCTCTACTAAAAATACAAAAAAAGTAGCCGGGCATGGTGGCAGGCATCTGTAGTCCCAGCTACTTGGGAGGCTGAGGCAGGAGAATGGCATGAACCTGGGAGGCGGAGCTTGCAATGAGCCGAGATCGTGCCACTGCACTCCAGCCTGGGTGACAGAGAGAGAATCCATCTCAAAAAAATAATAATAATAAAATAAAATATTAATCCCAAGATACAAGGAGCCCAATCAACTCAAAACAAAATAAACCCAAAGAAAACCACAAAGAAATGTGTAATTGGATGCAATACAGTATTAATTTTACATTTTTGTTTGCTATATTATATTACTTTAACTTGTGTTGGATTTTTTTTTTTTAAGGGTGGAGCATACAGTTAAGTCACTTGAAATCATTTGGATCTTTCTAGGCTTTCTTTTATTCTTTGTTTAGGGAGAGACTAGACCAGTCTTTAGTCTAGGGCTAATATACTCCTAAGTATATTACTTCTAAGGCAATATCCTTTTGAAGATTCTGCTATTTGATGCCCATGGATTATGAGCTTATTTCACTCTGCTGCTGAGAATGCAAACAATTATCAGCTCTGTGTGAGCTCTGGAAATTATTGTATCTATTTCTTTCTTGTGTTCTGTTGTTCTTCTGTTGTCAAGCAATTCCTTGTCGCATTTGTGCAGATCAATATTGAGCCAAAGACTCTAGGTGATCCCTCTGAAGATCTATGGAGGTCTCTTTCTGTGTAGCTCCTATCATTTTGGCATTCTGCCTCACCAGTTCTAGCTGTGTTAGTCTCTCTGATCACTGCCTCCTCAACTCAGTGAGACCGCAAATCTCAGCTTGATTTCTTCTTTCCCACACTAAAGCCTGGAAACTGCCTGCATGCAATAAAATGCTGCAATTTATAGACTTGATATTGTATATGTGCTTACTGACAGTTATTTTGAATATAAAATTAATGTATGCTGACTGCAAACATTCAGAAAATAATTTTGAAATACATCCTTCCAAGTGTTTTTTCCTTTCTGTCTCTTACTTCTCTTTTGCCTCCTTCATTCTCTTTTTCTTTCTTTATGTGTGTATGTACTTTTAAAAATAAAATGGAATTGTGCTGCACAAAATGTGTCATTGTTTAAGTTAAGCCATACTGTATGTAATTAATAAAGCCTCAATAATGAAATCCTGTTATAAATTAATGGATAAACAAATTGTGGTATAAACATCCAATGGAATATTATTTGGCCATAAAAAATGCATGAGGTTTTGACACACGTAACAACTTGTATGAATTTCAAAAATATTATACTAAGTGAAAGAAGCCAATCACAAAAGATTACAGATTACATATTGTATGCTTCTTTTTATATGAAATGTCTAGAATAGGCAAATCTATAGAGACAGGAGAGACTCACGCTTGCAGAGGGCTGGGTAAGGGGGATATGGAGATTGAATACTTATGGAAAGTAGAGAGAGGTGGTGGTTGTACAACATTGCTAATGTACTAAATGCCACTGAATAGTACACTTTAAAGTGGTTGTGGGTCATGTGAATTTCACCTCGATTAAAAAAAAGCCTATCACAAAAAAAGATTCTCCTTTTCTTTACTAGTACATCAAATTAATAAATAAAGGCAAATTTAAAAATAATAATAATGATGGAACTGTGCCCTCTGTTAGGTAACTGAGAGTTAAACTTCTAACCGAGTCACCACACTGGGCAGTCTTTTCTGGTAACAAAGAGTATACCGTTCCAAGAGTAGAAGACTTTTATGAATTACAGATCTATCCAAAATGAATGTTGTCACTTAAGAGATCTGCAGACCAGTTTAAACATATAACATATAAGTTTTTAATATAATATAAACAAATGTCTAAAACTTTATCCGTAAATATGTACTGTTAATGGTGGAAGCTGTTTTTAATATCAGGATTTATTTGAGAATCACTCTTGATGTGGTGACTTTTTCTTACTGCTCTTTGACTCTTGAAAATCTTTAAGTCAATCCAATGGAGTTGAATCTTTTTCACTTCATTAACATACAAATACCAGACCTATCAGAGCTGGCAAATTCCTGTGACATACCTATGCGTCTTAACACTCCATGTCATATGTAATATGAGGTCAATGGATGTGCCGCTTTACTAAATCTGTAACAAATTTTAATGCTAGGCCTGTCCGTGAAATCACTTTCTGTGTTTTTGTTTGTCTCTTCCACCGTTTTCACATATTCTGAACCCAATATTGAGGATTTTCAGAGCACAGGATGAGTCTTTACATTTCCATTAGCACCTTGCACAGTACTAGTCATTTAATAGTTTCTTAAAAACAAATGATAATTAATAATTAATTGTTGACAGAATCAGTTTCATGGACAACAAAAATTGAATTCATGTTACACATTTAATTTTCAAATCCTTCAAATTCATGGGTGTGATACCACAGGCCTTTTTCAGACAAAATGCTCAGGGACGCCTCAAAAAAATGTGATGAAAATAAAAGTACACATCTTTGATTTAACATCTTCATGGTCATTTTTATCTAGATGCAAAATCTGATCAAAATTTGGAAAGGAATCATATCATTTCCCAAGGGAGATCTCTTATTTGCACCGAAGTTTGAACATAGAAAATCCTAGTGAACTTCTACTAGAGATATGCACCTAAAAGACTAATCTCCAGAAGTATAGCTGATTTTTTTAAAGGAAAAACTTGTAGACATGTGGCAGAGACCAGTGTTTTTCCTTCCATTATAGTCAGATTATGTCTGGGGCACATGGCTGGAATACATTTCCCAGTCTCTCTTGAAGTTAGGCTGGGTTAAGTGACTTAGTTATCACTAATGGCATGCAAGTGTAAATAATGTGCATCACTTCCGGGCATGGGTTTTAAGAGTGGATGTATCTCTCTTGGCCGGTTGCCAGTTTTAACCAGTTTCTAGCAGATGGCAGTGGCAAAAGTTGGAAGGAATCCAAATTCTAAATCATAATTTGGAGAAAAGCCACCTACTAACTACCAACTCCAGCCTGTGATATGAGCAAGAATTTAATGTCTATTGTGTGTGAACCATTATACATGTGGGAATTTCTTTGTTATAGCAGTTTAACCTACATATGTTTTTTTAGAGACCTAAGGAATAATAATAGTAGGCATGAGGGAATTAGGGCAATAATTGGAGCAGACCTAAAAACTTTGGTCAAAATGAAAACCATTACAAAATGCAAATGATAAAATCACATCTCGATTGTCTACTTAAGCATTATCAACTAATTAAAAGTTTAGAATGGTGGATTCCTCATTCTGCTAGCAACAATGCTGAGGACTTGGTTTCTTTAGCTTGTGTGTCATGCTAAATCAAATCTGATTCCAGTGCCTCATTGCAGAGCTGAACTATTTTTGGCACCAACTAAAAAAACATTGTAAAATATAGCATGTCGTTCTTGTAAACATAAGCATAGAGATTTTCTTTCCAAGCTGATTTTCAAAACACCTAAGTATTACTTTACGCTAGCCTAATAGGAATAGATATGCAAAACAAATTCATTACAGCAAGTACCCATTCAGAGGTAAAGTTATTCATTCTGATGAAATCTACACTTACCTGAAGAGATCTTCATGAGAACAGAAAATTCTAGGAAGACCTCTCTGAGTAGCCAAAGCTTACTCTCAAGTAGTGCCACTTTAGTTAAGTGATGTGCTGTGACAATTTACTAGGCAGAATTTCCCTTTTGCCCTTTTCTTTCTCATGTATGTCCTAGTAGCTATCAGTTCTTCCTTTTTTTTCCCCTTGTGTCTGCTTGCTGAGCATTTAATTGGGTGCAAATGTTAAGTGCAAAGAGACAGATACTCAGACCTCACATATTTCCCAAAGAAAAGAATAAAGACATTAAAACTACGATCTTCCCAAACATGAGGAGGTCAGAGAGAAAGCATTGCTTGTATAATATTCTATATCATTTATCAAGGTTGTTGTATATGGAGTTAACTAACTGGGGAATATTGGGCAGGGAGCCAATAAGACCCAAACAATCCTAGGCTCTGGTTTTATAACAAACTCAGAGAAGTATAACTACAGAATAATGGTTTTAAATTATAAAGAAATAAAATTTTCTGAATTGGAAGAAAAGAAATAGAATTAGAGACTCTGGAATTAAAAGGAAACATGCATTTTTCTGAAAAACTCTTCTAGTTCAGGTACTGATTTGCAAAGATACTGAAAGTAGAATATGCAGGAACACGAAAATTCAGGAAGCATATGTGTTACTAAGTATGCTAGATTGAGCAAGAGTGAGGGCCACTCTCACCAGGAGAGGATCCTGGTTCATGACTACAAAAGACAGCATGAAAGAAAAAGATGGATATTGAATAGGAATGGGAAAGTGCTGAAGGAACAGGGTAGGGCTGGAGGAAATCATACGGGGTTATCTTCAGAGAAAAGTAAAACAAAAAAAAAAAAAGAAAGAAACTCAGAGATTTAACAACTACAGTATTTTTGCTTCACCACCTCTTCTGATAATATATGTCATCAATTTCCGAACACTCTAAAAACCAAATTCACAAGTATGTGCTCGAGGATCACTAAGGGCAAACAGTGATGCCCACATCTGCCGCCTGGGAGGAGACAAGAAAGCCAGAAACATTGCATCGGAGAGCACAAAAAAGAAACTAGGGGAAAGTCAGACCAGAAATACTTGTCAACTACCTTTAATGACTTAAAGGTTTTTCCAGAGATTGAAACGTTGCCAGCAAGGAGCATTTTTAGCTTCCATATGCCATAATCTGACTTAAAATTGTAATGCCATTATTATGTTAATTTTTTCCATTTAATATTCCGATAAGAGGTCTAAAAAATATCCATTGAACTTGCCTTTGCCATGTATCACATCATTCCAGGACTGCTGGAATATAAGGGACACAGGGTGGGAGTTTAGAGTTTTGAGAGGACATCTTACCAAAAATGACGTCTTGAGCATATCACTATGACTATTGTTATTATGTTCTTGTAATTGGTTTTTGTTGGTTTGGTTTAATTTGGTTTGGTGTTTTGGTATTTCTTGATGATCTATTGGACTGTGAACTTCACGAGGCCTGGACTGCATCTTACTTATTTTTGTATTCTGTTACTTAGTCTAGTACCTGGTACAGACTTGAAACTCAATAAATGCTTTTTGATTGGGTGAATGAAGGAATCAAGCTAATTACTTGACGATCTTATAGAAAGTTGAACTAATATGTTTGTTAAAAATGTATGAGGACTTCCACTGATAGGAAAATGGAGTAGATGCAATTTTCCTTATGCCTCCTGCAAAGTACAACTAATAGCCGTATATCCTATATAGAAAACAAACATAAGAAAACTCTGAAAGTTGGAAAGAGGCTATCCTCTCTGCTGTTTTCTGCCTAGAGATCTTGAGAACACATGGAAAGTTACAGTGGTGAGTTCTATGGGGTTTCTTTTTGCTGCATATACCCAGAGATGGGTTGAAAAAGCCAGAAACTCAGTGTATTAGTCTGTTTTCATGCTGCTGATAAAGACATACCCGAGACTGGGCAATTTACAAAAGAAAGAGGTTTAACGGACTCACACTTCTACATGGTTGGCGAAGCCTCACAATCATGGTGGAAGGCAAGGAGGAGCAGGTCATGTCTTACATGGATGGCAGCATGCAAAGAGAAAGCTTGTGCAGGGAAACTCCCCCTTATGAAACCATCAAGATCTTGTGAGACTTATTCACTATCACAAGAACAGCATGGGAAAGACCAGCCCCTATGATTCAATTACCTCCCACCAGGTCCCTCCTATAACACATGGAAATTGTGTGAGCTACAATTCAAGATGAGATTTGGGTGGGGACACAGCCAAACCATATCAAGCAGTAAGGTCAACAGCCACAGACCAAAAACAAAAAGTCCCAATGAAAACTTATTTGTTCAAGCCAAAGGACCAGGAAAAGGACAGCCTAGCAAGACATGAAAACTTTGACAATAACTGTCCTACTCTAGCCAGACACCACAGAAAACTATGTCCCAATCTGCATCCATATCAGAAGAGGCCAAGTACAGAGCTGAAGTTCTATAGTGAGGCATCCCAGTTTTCCTGCTAGAGAGGTATCAGATAAGGTTGAATGGAGATCCTGAACTTCCACCCCTGCCTGGCAGCAATGAGATGTCTATCCCTCTCCCCACTGGGGTGGTATCAGAGGAGGCCTGATAAACTTTCACCACCATCTAATGGTAATCAGATCACCCCACTCCATCCCATGTCCCCCCCTAGTCAGCAGAGACCATGTAGGGAGCAGTAATAAGGCACTGCTATCCTTACCAGCAAGGGAAGTATCAGTGGAGCCTAGTGGGGATTGTAAACTCCTAATCACACTAGAAGTAAAAAGAAACTGGATACTCATACATTGCTGGTAGGAATGTAGTATGGTTCACCCACTGTGGAAAACAGTTTGACAGTTTCTTCAAAAATTAAACATGCGACTACCAGATGACCAAATATTTGCAGTCCTGGTAATTTAGCCCAGAGAAATCAAAACCTGTATATGAATGATAATAGCAGCTTTATTTACAAGAGCCAAAAATCGGACACAGTCCAAACACCCTTCAGTGAGTGAATACTTAAACATTCTGATTGACATCCTTATCATGGAATACTATTCAGTAATAAAATAGAATAAACTATGGATACACTAAGCAATCTGTATGAATTTCCCAAAAATTATCCCAGTGAAAAAAGCCAGTTTCAAAAGGCTAATTCCTGTATGATTCCATTTATATAACGTTCTTGAAATGACAAAATGATAGAAATGGAGAAGAGACTAGTGATTTCCTGTGTTTAAGGGGTGAGAGTAGGCAGGAGAAAGATGGGTGCAGCTGAAAAAGGTCAATGTGGGGAATCCTTGTGGTGATGAAAATGTTTTGCATCTTGATTATATCATTGGCAATATCCTGGTTATCACACTGTACTACAGTTTTACAAGATGTTACATTATGAGAAATGGGTAAAACATACATAGTAACTTTCTGTATTATTTCTTAGAATTGTATGTGACTACAATTATCTCAGAATAAAAAGTTAAATAAAAAATAGTACTTTCTTACACAGTAGAAAAAGAATATATGAAGGCATGTTAACTGGAAATATAATGGTCAATCTTGCATGGAGCCACATATTTCTTTATATATAGTGTGCCTTCCACAAATCTGGTTATTATCTTTTAATATTTCATGGTTCATCACACAGGATATATCATTATGATTACTTTTGATATTTTTGCTTTACAGAAATTTTAAGGTTAGTTTTAATACGTTCTCAATTTTCAGAAGAAAAAGGAGTTGAAGATTACATGTACAGAGTCTATATTAACTTGAAATGAAGCTATAATCAAGATTTATGGTTGTGTCAGTACCAAAAAAGTGACAAACAGTAGGATATAAAATGCCAAAAATCTTTTGCTGGGAGCATTAAAATCTACTGTAAATCAATTTTTCAATCCAAGATACAACAGTTTTCAACTATTAAAATTTCTAGTGTGTACCTCTGTTAAATGGTCTTCTGAATGAGAACTAGAGTTTCTATTGAATTCTCTCATTGAGTTCACAGGGTCATGAGAATTTTTGATAGCTAGAGTCTTGATCTGAGAAGCAAAAGTTTTTTAGTTTTTTTACTCCAAGATCTGACACAGACTTGACGGGTAACTTTGAACCAGATATAATATTTCTTTAAAATTTCCTTTTCCTGCCAGGTTTATGAGAATTGCAGATACCAAGGTCCTTTAGTGTCTCTTTTTACCTTCTCTTGGCCAGACTTATGAAGAACAAACTGAAGGACAGAAGTCAGAGTCATGGCCTTGGCTGATGCAGAAACAACACAACATACATCCTTGGGGAGAATCAAGCCACAACCATCATTCAATGCATGATAAACCCTTCCCTTCTGTAAAATCCATTTCAGTTCCTGTTCTCCCCTCTTCCTTCAGCTTTATTCATTTGATACAAGCTCCCGAGAACTTCAAGGCTCCATAGAACCTGCGGGCACAAAGTGGGGATACTCAGTGCCCTGTTTTCTCTGGGGATGTAGAAGGACGCACAAGACAATCCTGGACTACCTTTTCATCTGCTCACTCTTCTCCACAAGAGGAAAGTAGAAAGGCAGAGGAAGAATGGTTCCCAACAATATTTACTCTGTAATTCACTGTTAATTTTCTGATGAGAACATCTCTGAGATCATCAAAATAGGAAATGCATACCCAGTGAAGAAATGCTTTGCCTTACAGACACTCTACAAAATGTCTCAGATGAATGCCTACCAGGACCGCTAGAAACAGTTTAGCAGCTCCCTGGAATTTACATAGGCATATTTAGGACTTTCCATGTTTAGATCACAGTCAGCTAAAGTAGGTGTCAGGATATTGCCCACCATGAATTACCCAAGGCTCTAATAATCATGGCATCTATTCTGCCTTCCCTTTGCAGTTCAAATAAGCAGAACTTTCCAATGTCGGGAGCTTAAGGTACTATCAGATGTCTGTAAACAGGAATCGTTTTTAAAACCAGGAGACTTGAATTAAAACCATCATTCTAAGAACCAAAGTAGACTTGGTGAGAAATAAAGCTTGCGAGGAAATGTATTCTATCCACTGTTTGTCAGGGCTTATCTATTCTGGAAGATAACTAGGCATCAGCATCTTAGAGATGGAAGGAGGTAACTCTGCCTCCCTCATGTGCCCTACAGTAAGGATGAAGGCAATGGGCACATTGTTAACGATATAAACAGGACTAGACAGTGGACGCATTGTTAAGAATATAAATGGGATGAAACTTCTTTCTTGTATTTCTTCCATCATTTATTCTTTCAATAGACATTATATATATATACGCACACATACACATACACACATATATGTATATATATGTATATGCGTGAGTGTATATATGTGTGTGTGTATATATATACACATATGTATATATACACACCTTAGTATATCTATTTAGTAAAAGCCTGACATGTGTTTCTGTCATATTTATTCTGGAAAGTTCCAGTACAAATTATTCTTACCTTAGAGAATTTTCTCTGAAGAGTAGTCTATAAGTCATGTTTATCAGGATCATCTGGGAAACTAATTAAAAATTCCAAGTTCCTGGGCTCTAGTCGAGATTCACTGTGTAAGATCCACTGGTTAGAACCCAGCGATCTACATTTTAGAGAAGCCACTGAAGTGATGGCTATGTATACTAGTGTTTCAGAAGCAATGCCTTGCTGGGCACGGTGGCTCACACCTGTAATCCCAGCACTTTGGGAGGCTGAGGCAGGTGGATCACTTGAGGCCAGGAGTTCAAGAGAAACAATGCCTTCTAGATTTTACCTTTTTACTGATTGCCCTCAAGTCTCATCTGTCAATCTTTGAAGGTAGATATAGCTTTAGCCTTTTAGGGAGACATGACTCTTGACTGATATTTCCCTACTAATACAAATTTCAAGAATACTTAAAATATGTAGAACTACATCAAAAATGTATGAAATTATATTATTGACCCTCAAATTTTCCATAATCCTCTGTATGATTATTTAGTGAACTTTGATGAAAATCTAGCCTAAAACATCAGCTTTCTAATTAGACATTTGTTTACATTATTTAGAGAAACGTCTTTTCCTTAGCCATTGCTTTATGTGCTGTACTAAATTACTTGTCTAGTTAAAGCTGAAAAGTGAGGTACAAATTTGTTCCCTCCAATTACATGATTCCTCAAACAATCTGACCATGTGTAGGTATCACAAGACTCCACAAAAGGGCCGAGGAGATTCATTTGGGTCAGGACATATTTCCTTTGAAGACTTAGATTTGAAAAAAAAAAAAATCAGTAGCTTTTTGACCATGACGTTGTTCCTTAAACACAGCTTATAGCAAGACGTGTGAATGCCTCAAAAATTTAACCTACAGATTAAATTTATCTTTAAATCAATGGGATTTCAAACTAGAGAAAAGTCAGTGTGACTGTTATAGAATATTGCAAGCTCTATACAACTTGAAAGACTTTAAGTCATTTTTATATAAATTGCATTGGCACAAAGAATCAAAATTTTTTAAAATTTAGTCTGAATCAACAACTGCAATTTCTGTTTGGGGAGAAAGGAGGGACTCTTGAAAATTTTTCCCCAGCAGTCACAGCTGGAGAAGGGCAACACCCCTAGTAACAATTTAGATAAGAAAATTTTCAAAGATAGAAATAATCGATTAATGAACCCATAGAAACTTTTATCTAAAAAGATTTGAATCCATAGATTCACATTTCTTTCAAAATGTTCTTACCTAAAGTGTTGTAGGGGTGTGGCAGTGTCCTATAAAATAAGAAATACATAAAATTCAAAAACACACACACTAAGGAAGCATGGGTGAGAAAACAGGTAAGCGAGGAAGAAGACACTTTAAATGGTGAAGGTTCTCTCCCTGCCCTTGGAATACAAAGAAAGGCAGACAGGCATTTGTCACATTGTTTATAAACAATACCAAAGTTAAATATTTCCCTGAACAACTTCAGTCTCTTTGCAGTAAGGGGTAAATAACTATGAGTTTTGAAAACATGTTGAGTTTATAGCCCACTGAGTTGTCTTTATGGATTTGAGAAAGTTTTCAAGTTTGAAAAATTAGTATTAGACTGAAATGTAGCTTCTGTAAGCACTAAAATGCCTTTTTGATGAGTGACATTGCAAGTACAGTTAGCTATATTTATATGAGGTGGCTTTTTTTTCCACATGTATTATTCTACAAGAGTTTTGTAGTTTCTTTTTTTTTCTTTTCAACTCAGTCACTTACGAACAGAGCAATTGAATCTCAGTTACTGAGTCTTGAATAAGTGAGAATTTCTCCCACAAGCACTAAACACTAAAAATTATTTCAATCATTATATTCAAACAAGAAAAGACATGGACTTAAATGCCACGAATATAAAGTAATTACCTTGCTAACCATATCCAGTCAAATAAAGCTGTCAATGGTATATACAGTTGTCCCAGGGTATCCTGGGGGATTCATTGGAGGACTCCTTAGGATACCAAAGTCAGATTTCTAACCTCTCCAATGACACTACTCTTTTTTTTTTTTAATTAAATATAGCTGTTCTATCTCCCCTTTCTCTAGAATAACTGAGTATAGACCTAGCATATGCTTGAGGCAAATTTTAATGCCTAATCCTACACATCAATATGTATTTGCAAACAACCTATGTACATCCTCCAGTATACTTTAAATCGTGTTTAGGCTGGGCATTATGGCTCACGCCTGTAATTCTAACACTCTGGGAGGCTGAGGTGGGAGGATTGCTTGGGATCAGGGGTTTGAGACCAGCCTGTGCAACATAACAAGACCTTGTCTTTATAAAAAGTGAAATAAATGAAAAAAAAAAAATAGCCAGGTATGGTGGCATGCACCTGTAGTCCCAGCAACTTGGAAGACTAAGGCAGGAGGATCACTCGAGCCCACTCGAGCCAAGGGTTTTGAGCATACCACTGCATTCCAGTCTGGGTGACAGAACAAGAGCCTGTCTCTAAACAAGAAAAAAAAGAAAAAATATATATCTAATAAAAATATATTAGATTACTTCTAATACGTAAAACAGTGTAAATGCTCTGTAAATAGTTGTTATAGTTGTTATACTGTATTGGTTTTTAAATTTCATATTACTTTTATTGCTATATTATATTTACTGTTTTTGCTTTTATTCACCCAACATTGGTTGACTCTGAGGATGCAGAACCCAAGGATAAGGAGAGCCAACCGTAATTTATGTTACCTCCTCACTTAAAATGGTGAACATAGAATTTCATTTTTACCAACAAATGGTGCCACAACAGCAAGGATTCATGTCATTCCAGGGCCCTCAATAGCAATCAAGCCTTCCAAGCATGGGTGTTTTAATGCTGGCTGGAGGCTGAATGCAGTCTGATCCACTTCCTAGGGTAGTTTCAATGTTATTGTCCAACATTTAGTGAGAAAATGACTGGGGAAACACCAGCAACCATGTGGATTGCACCGTAAGGTTTTAACTTTTGAGAATTTGTTATGTTATCCAATATGCCTTAACTCCCTCTCATTGGCTTTCCATTTCACTTCTCTCCAGGGGACAGGGAAGCTTATAAGAAGAGCAATATTTATGCAGAATAATTCAGAAGTGAAGCTTTCGGGGAATGAAATATGTATGTTGGCCAGTGAAAAGGAAACTGCTCATCTTCCCAAGACTCATGAATAATCCTTGTTTACTCTATAATAGCTATGAATTTGTCAAATGCGCGTGCACACACACTCTCAAGTATTTGCTGGAATTATGATTGAGGAACCCTGTGCTACCATCTTGTTGGAAAAACTAAATAATATGATTTGTGATTCAAAACACTGTTTTGATAGCCTAGAATTATCAAAATTAAGGATGGTAATAATCTGGTAATTAACAGCAATTTGTTTTATCACCACAGAAATGGCATGATACAAACAACAGTGACCTATAATTTCCTTCACATGAGATTTGCATATATTATCACTAAATTTGTAATTACCCCAGCAGTCACCCAAAATATTGCTTATCATTTGCTCATAAGATGTCAGGGATGTTAAAGTGGACTGGATCACCTAGTTTTCCAGAGCTACTGAACAAAAGGCCATTGCAAAAGAGAAAACTAAACACGATGTGACAAGTACAGCGAAAAGGTAATTAGTGTCATTATATCTTTCTTGCTAACTTTTTGGTAATAGACAGGTATGTATATATGAAGAATTTTTTAAAGCCAATTTATTTCGCTTTTGTGTTGCTTCCGCTGTAATTAAAACTGGAATTAAATAGCAGAGGGTTAAAAAGTTAAACAAAATAAACAGTAACTGAATTCTAATAGAGTTTTATTCCTCTCTGGATCTATGCCTGGATTTTCCTTTGGTGTAGAGGCAATTTGTGAATGAACATCCTGCTGCCAGGGAGGCTTTCATATAAGCTTTCAGAACTCGGATTTCTAACTTCTCCAAGGACACTGTACTTCCTGGTTTTTTATTAAGTAGCTGTTCTATCTCCCTTTCTCTAAAATAACTAACAGAGTACAGGACTAGAATATGCTTGAGGCAAAACTTTAATGCCTAATCCTACATATCCATATTCTATACACATCTCTAGAGCATTCATTCTACTGACATTAAAGGAATATCAGTACTAACTCTTTACATGTGAATTGAACATCACAGTTTGTAAAGCCTCTTCGTACATGTTTGTATCACACTTGACAGATAGTGCATATGAATCTTGTAAGGCAGCATGTGTGTTTCATGCCCACTTTTGAGGTGAGGAAGCCTGAAACTCAGTTGACATGATTTGCCTAAGAGCCAGGAAGTGGGGACCTTGGGGACAAGTGTACTATCTGATTGTCTGTGAACAGCCATTTTCACTACTTAATAGCCTGCATTTGTCCACAATATTTGTTTTCAAATTATTGAGTTTAAAGAAAAAGAAATTTGACTGAATAAGATTCTTTGTAGACTGGAGGAGTTATTTTCATCATGATGAAGGTAATATGACTTCCACACATAAAAACATAGACATCGCCATTTACAAAAAGTCAATGAAAGACAAGATTTCAAAAATTAAGGTGTATTTATCTGAATATTGTTTGCTTATATGTCTAAGGTAATAAAGGCAGAACATACGTGCTTTTCTTTGGTTATTTGGTTCACTTTTTTAAATAATATTTTATATGGCAAAAGAAATCAAACAATATAAAAAGCTAAACAAAGAATAATACATTTATCTTCTATCCTCATTCCCACTCTCATCAGAGCAACACCTGCTATCAGTTACTTACTGTATTCCTAGAGAATAAGACTATACACACATACACACACACACACTGCCTGTACATACAGAGGTTATATTATTTTAAACAAATATTGTATGCTGTACACTGCTTTTTCACTGTTTTTTCACATAGCACGGTAGCCTAGGTATTATTCATATAAGTCATATATTTGCTTCACTCTTTAAATGCTGTAACACTTCCATTTTATGGCTGTACCATGTTTTAAACTGTGCCAAAGAAATACTTGTGGTATTTCTGTGATTGTGTGATTACAAATACCACATCAATACATATCCTATATAGATATTTTGTGGAAGCACGCATATGATCTTGGAATTACTCTATGAATTGTATATATATATATATATATATATATATATATATAGTAAAAATCAATGTTCATAAAGCTGTTTATCCAAAGAACTTTGACTTTGAAATATATCCTTTATTGGCTAGGTGCCGTGGCTCATGCCTATAATCCCAGTACTTTGGGAGGCAGAGGCAGATAGATCACCTGAGGTCGGGAGTTAGAGACCAGCCTGACCAAGATGAAGAAACCCCATCTCTACTAAAAATACAAAATTAGCTGGGCTTGGTGGCACATGCCTGTAATCCGAGCTATTTGGGAGGCCGAGGCAGGAGAATTTCTTGAACCCTGGGGGAGGAGGTTGCAGTGAGCCGAGATCGTGCCATTGCACTCCAGCCTGGGCAACAAGAGCACAACTCCGCCTCAAAAAAAAAAAAAAAAAAAAAAAGAAATATATTCTTTATTTAATGAGACTTCTTTGAAATTGATAGGAAATGCACCAAGAAAGTGAGAGAAAGTGAGAGTCAGGATTGTAATAGTTTATTAGAGACTATACTCCATATATAACTGCAGCCTATCATTTTGTAATTTCACTTTTTACTTTCTTCCTATTTACCTTTACTATCTGAAAAATAATGATGTTGAAGAAAATGTTTTTATTAGTTACTTTATATATATATATAATTTCTAACTGTTTTGTTAAATATTAAGATATACAAAAAAGAAACAAAACTCACCACATAAACTTCACAGTAACATAAAAAATCAGTATGCATATAGGGTTAGCAAAAATCAAACACTGAAAAAAAATAAAACTTTCCCCTCCTGTAGATACACTCCCCATAGGATCTTTTCTGAAAACTAACCACTGTTAGATTCTTATAATTCGTTTTAAGTAAAAGAGGAAAGAATTTATATACATATTACGTATGCTTAATATATATACATACACATGTTTTGATAAAATAAAAATGTCTGCACTCCTGACAATGAAATATGCATTTCTCCAACTATTAATATTTGGTATAATCAAATTTTGTATTTTTTAGATAAAAAAGTTATTTTATTCTTTTTTAACATATTAATCATGAGTGAGTTTGAAATTGGCCTTTCTCTTTTTTTTTCCCCAAATTGCCAGCTTAAACATCTCACTGTTTTCTTCTGGGTGTCCATATTCTTATCTATGAATTTTATTTTATTTGCTTAGAAAGTTCTTTGTCACTTGAAAATTAGATTTGTCTCTTCTTTCTTCTAGAACTTCCTTTCTTTTCAAACTTCTTTTTCATTTGGCATTTATGCTGGCATAAGGAACAAGGTAGAAATGTTGCTGCTCAGTGCTTCATGCCTTTCAACCAAAGCATTAGGTAATATCCTTTCTTCCAATAAATCTGACATAGCGCCTATATTGCAAACTGTATTGCTAAATGTATTGGGGGCTATTTCTGAACTTTCTATCACAGACATTTCTAGTATCTCCTGGGTGTGTAGAAGCCAGTGTTTTTCAACCCCTTTGCAGTTAGGCAAGGCCATTTTTGATCTAATTACTTCATTGCCGGGCTGAGACAGAGGAAATAAACATTCATGATTCTCCAAGTTGTTTTACCCTGCTGGGAAGATTGAAGAAAAACTATTTTGGGTTGATACTGCTAGAACATCTGAGTCAACGTTACACTGGGTTCCTGAATGACTACACAGATCTGAGCCCCCTACTCTTCACTGACCAATAATAGACTCGAAGAATGAACAAGAAATTTTCATTCTGTTAAACCTTCAAGATTTCAGGGTTACTTTGTTATTACCTAGTTTATCCCAAATAATATCCTCTGTATTACATTTCTTTGATGTGTTTATTGCTTCCATAATATTTAATATAGTTGTGGTTGTTATGTAATACAAGCTGGAAAAATCCTGAAGAAAAAATAGTGAAAGAATGATCCTACAAGATAGCAGTGATTAACAACCACAACTATATTTTTCAAGATGGATTTTAGCATTGTTTTAGGTTCTAGGTTCTAGGCAAAATAAACTGTTATTTTCATGGGGATTAAATGAATATATAGATTAATTTAGGCAAAATGGACATGTATAGTAAGGCTTAAAACAATTTTCCATATACAAACTTCACAATTTTTGTTACTTTGCATCTAAATATTTTAATTTTTAGTTGCTATTAGAAACACGTTCTTTCAGTTATATGATCTCATTGGTATTTACATATAGGAAAGATTGATTTTTACAGATTGATTTTTAGAAGCTACTAGCTTACTGAATTCTCCTAATCTTTTAAATTATTTTGGATATTCTATGTAAACAATAATATTCATGCAAATAATTATTTTCTTCTCATTTCAAACATTTTTGCTCTTTCTTTCTTTCTCATATTTAATAATACTGGCTACTGTATTTCCCAAACAGTGGTGAAAAATAATGGCAATAGCTGCTAATCTGGTTTCTGTTACTATAGATAAGTTTGCATTTTCTAGAATTGTAAATAAGTAGAATCCCATAGTGTGTACTCTTCTTTCTAGCAATGGCCAGGGCAAGAGGGGTGAGGTGCGGCAGGTGGTAAGGATTACAAAGGGATGCAAGGAATTTTTTAGGGGTAGTGAATATGTTCATTATTTTATACCTAGTAATCGTTTCACAAGTGTAAACATATGTCAAAACTTATATACTTTAAATATGTGAAGTTTAAATATGTGTAGTTTATTTCATCATAAAAGAAATCAATTATGCCTCAATAAAAATGTAAAAAATAGTAGCGATAGTGAGTACCCTTCTCTTGTTTCTGACTTTGGTTAGAGATATGTCTTTAGATTAGATTGGCCAGATGATGATTGATTGATTGATTGATTGATAGAATATATACATTTCTTATGTTAAAGAACTAACCACCTACAGTATTCCTACTTTCTCATTTTTTGGCATCAGAAATACATGGCAAATACTGCCAAATAGCTTTTTGGCAATATTTAAATGATTGGTTGCTGTTGGCTTTTTAAATTTCATTTATCCAAGAATATATTGTATTATCAATAGATTTCATAATACGAATAAGCCTTCTATTCTAGATATGAACTATAATTGTTTATGGAATATTTACAACTACTGAATCTGATTTGTTAGTGAAATAAATTTTTTTTCACTTCAGGGTAATGTACGTTCTGAGAGATTTGCCTAACTATTTGAAAATTGTCCACGGTAAGTTCATTCTGGACATCAAAAGCAATGGATGTGCCAACCAACTTATTTTAAAACATTATTAACGGCTGGACGCGGTGGCTCATGCCTGTAATCCCAGCACTTTGGGCGGCCAAGGAGGGCGGATCACGAGGTCAGGAGATCAAGGCCATCCTGGCTAACACGGTGAAACCCCGTCTCTACTAAAAAAAAATTAGCCAGGCATGGTGGCTGGCGCCTGTAGTCCCAGCTACTTGGGAGGCTGAGGCAGGAGAATGGCGTAAACCCGGGAGGCGGAGCTTGCAGTGAGCCGAGATCGCCACCGCACTCCAGCCTGGGTGACAGAGCGAGACTCTGTCAAACAAACAAAAAACCAAAAACAAAACAAAACCCACATTATTAACATAAATAAGATCATTAAAAAGCAAGGTAATTATCTTAATAATATAGTCTTGAAAACAACCTAAACATCTAAAATGGCAAGAGAACAAGGTTAACATGCTTTTTAGTGGTTACATTACTCTGAAAATAGCCTCAATTCTCTACTTCATTTTCAATGTGGATAGGCTGAATGCCCTTCTTACTAGAAGGAAGAGAGCACCTAAGGTACTGAGAGTTTCCAAAAGCTTTTTAATCATATTTAGCAGCTTCCTTAACTGTTCAGTGACCACATTAATGTGTTCTATCTAATATAGAACAGTCTTTCTCAGAGAGTGGCCCCTTGACAAGCAGCATTAGCCTCACCTGAGAAGTTGTTAGAAACACAAATTGTTGGATCCACTCCAAGCCTACTGAACCAGAAATTCGGTGATTGGGCACAGCAATCTGTGCTGGCATCCCAGTAATTGTGATGCACACTATAGTTTGAGAACAACCCATATACAAGTACACCTAAGTTTAGCTCTTCAATCAACTTCTTTAACTTAATATCCTAAGCTACTTCCATTCTTTTCAAAAAAATTCTGAATTATTTGGAGACAGTCAATGTACTTACTCCAAGCTCATGGCCCAGCAGAGTATAAATGGCACTAACACACTTGTATTGTTCTGATATTTCTTTAAAAAAGAGGAAATTTTTTATTTTCAGGTATAGCTTCAAGAAAAATGGATCTTTTCAACTTTTTGGAAATGAAGAGAAATTTTTACGGTGATGCAATTCAGCACACACTACCCCCAAAATGTGGCACCTTGGCATTTGAGAAAACAGAAGCAGGAATGTCACTTTCACCTTCCCTCATCCTTCTCTCCTGATGCAGGTCATAAATCCTAGAAAATATTCTCTGACCATACACTGAGGCAGGCCATAAGACCCTCACTTGAGAGGTGCCTTCCCTATACGCAGAGGAAAGTAACATCCTTATCTCTGAAGATAACAGGGTCACAAAGAAGAATCTGAACAAACAGTTCTTACTAAATTCGTCCTGATTTATTACCATTAAATCATACTTTTAAATCCAATTATCTTCTCTATTTCATCCACTTATTCCTCAAAGCTAGTATAAAAAATACACGGGTTCTTCCATTTCTTCTGGTCTTCATTTCCTTATGAAGGCTCCTATGTCATGTAAAACTTATATTATAAATAAATGTCATGCTTCCCTTTTGTTAATTTGTCTTTTGTTGTAGGGACCCATTCATAAATCTGGATGGGTTCAGAAAAGATATATCTCCTCCCCTACAATGAAGCGATATAAATGAATGCAAATAATGAATAAACTAGGTATTTCTTAATGAACTTCAGTGGCAGCAAGCAATATACACATTAAATAGCCTCCCAAAAAAGCAAAAACAGCTTAGTAAATTATCTCAGCAGCTTATTATCAGGCAGCAAAGAGGACCCAAAAAAGCATAAAACTATACACTGGGAACCTAACACATTGACAAAGCAGTAATGTTTAAAAAAAAAAAAAACAGCTGAGATGAAGATTATGAGAAAGTAGGTTGTAGAGCACAGAAAACAAACAAAAAAAGGAAAGGCATACAAAACTTGGAGAACAGTGGGCAAGAAGAGGCAAAGGAAATCCATACATAAAACAAAAAATGTGAGCATGAGAATTTGTAGAAAAGACCAGGGGCTTGATTTAACACTGAAGGAAACAGCTTTCAGGATTAGGAGTTCTTCAGCTAAGAGCTGGTTTACTTTTAATTGAGCCACACACAAACGAAGAGGTAAAAAGGTGCCAAAAGCTAGAGTCAATATAAAATGAAAGAATAAAGTAAGTACTTTTATTGTTAAATAAATGGCCCCTAACTAGGCCATTTTTGAAAATTTCTGTTTCACTCATGTGATACAAATAATTGAAACAGCATCTGTGGTTTCTTCCCTAAGCTCCGGACTCTCCTTCTCTGTGTCCCCCTTCCTTCTTTATCCCTTTCCCTTTCCATCTGCCTTCTTGATGAATTTCATTGTTATGGCTATTTGCCTACCATCACCATTTCTTTATTATTGTACCTTGTTTGTACAAAAGGAGTCCTTGCTGTTATTTTATTTTCATTAATGCCTCCATCTTGAAATTTTCAAAAATGCAGTTTTAAACAGAGGATGCTCCCAGATTTGCCCTTGCACCATGACAGAGAACATTTCAGCCCTAGCCAGTGGTGTGCCCATGGAAACTGGGAGTCATTGTATCCTAGGAAACTATGGCAACCAACAGAGACAAACTGAAAACAGCCCATTGTCATCATTTTTAACGAGTCAAAGATGTGAGTATCCTCTACAATGAATTCAACTGTCATTTGCCAAAGAGAAGATGCAATTCAAATTGGCTCCAATAATTAGAACAGATAAGTATTTGAAAGCATACATATATGATTGATTTTATTCCTATTGTTCTTTAACAATAAACACTTATTAAGTGTGTTCCACAAATAACTAGGAAAATCAACAGATATAATCAGCTCTTATGAGCAACTTCTTCCACATTATTATTAAATACGTTGCACTATCCGATGTTCTAGCGATTTATCTGCGTACACAGATAAGTGGTTGTTATCACAGCACAAAGATGCTCAGAGATAATCCTGATTTCTTCTGTGGTTTTGTGCATCAAAAATTACTTGAATAATGAATTTAGATTCTTACTGTTTAGTGTTGGTTTATCCACTTTGGGCTCCCAATTATATTGAGAATCTTCTTCAGACTCTACTAAATAGTTTAGCTGTCTAATCAAACCAAGTTAATGAGAGGCCATATAGGTCATCCATGTAGATATAGCAACTATTATTTTGACAAATGAGTTTACAGCATGAAAGAAGAACTCCCACTGCATTGCAGTTTGTTTGAGTTCATTTATTTTGCATATCCTGTGTAGTTTAATTCCAAAACTTTTCTCCCCAAGGAAATCTGGGTCATATCTTTCATTTTTCCTTACAAAAATAGAGCTGGGTAAAATAATGTTTACAAGAACTCTTCATGCATGTGTGTGTGTGTGTGTGTATGTGTGTGTGAATGTGTGTGTGAGTGTGCATACACATGCATATGTATTTATTATTTTGAATTTAAACTTTTTTTACATGTCAAATGATATTTATTAAAATTTAGTTGCTCCCAGAAAACAAAGGTTAGAGAATAGAGTGGCATATTGGTGACGGTGATTTGCAATCTTAAAAGTGTACCCCCACAAGTAAAGTGCTACACAAAGAAAAGAAGCAAAAGATTCTAGACAAGAAACAACTATTATTTGCAGAACTCATGCATTTGCTAAACTCTGGTCTGTTCCTTGGTTAAAGCAGGAAACCAGAAAAGTGAAACATATATTCTAAGTATTTCAACTTAAATATGTAAAACAAAGTAATTCACAAATATTTCGTTAAAGCCTTTTGTTTGATAATGAGTCCACTGATTAGTTTCCTACCGTCTTCTTGGAGTAATGCATTATCTATAATCCCAAATTTTAGTTCTTTAAAAAAATTGAAAACTCAATATTCTGTGGAACAATGTAAGTATAAAATCTTTACAGATTTTTACATATTTAAATCTTTCACCATTTTCTTGCTGACATCTATTTTGACAGCATTATTTATTAGCAAATTACTTTTCCAAATATGTATTTCACAGATGATATTTCCTTAATTCTAAATGTATTCATCCATTTACATAATATGCAATTAAATCATATAATTCTTAAAACAGCCAACTGGAATTAACAAATTTGGGAAACAAGCAAAGTGATTACTGGTAAGTATAATCAGAATTATACAGACATACTAGGGAGTGGCCTGTTATCCATGAACATTCAGAGTAGCATGAGAAATACTGTGTATGTTTTAGAGAAGAAATTAAGGTACAGATTGGTTGTGTTGAGACTAGTGAAAAGAGTTACTACTGTATATACTCAATTGTGGGGTGGGTAGTAGCAGCTGTAGAGGTTATACCTTTTGTGGTATACAGGTTCCCCAAGAGGGTGTAGAGATTGGACCAGATTTAGGTCCAATAGGATAGATTTAGGAGAACGTCATAAACAGGACTGGAGTAACCTATACTCAAATCTATATTTTATTTAAGTGTAGATAAAAAGGTACAAAATAAAGTACTGGGCCCACTCAAAAATAGTAGAGACCAAGAGAGCAAAAATAACATTCTGAAAATTCAGAGGAAAAAGATGCCTTTGAAAAATGATCTCTAGTATGGAGAAGAAAGTTCCAGGAAATTGCATGCTCAGCATAATGCAAAAATAATCATAATAATAAAGCTGAGGAGGAACTTGTAAGAGATACAATAGATAAAAAAAAAAGAGCATAACTTACTAGGGAATTAATGGCTTAAAATAAAAACAATAAAATTCATTTTGGAGTCAACAAAGGGAAAGACTATGTGAAAAATCTAATGAGCGATAGAGAGGAAAATCTCAAGGAGGTTTCCCAAAATTCAGAAGAAAACAATGACGAAGTTTATAGATAGAAAAGAGAAACAAAATTAAACATAAACAATTTGGGTTCTCAAAGAACATAATGGAACAAGTGGAACAAAAAACAATACTGACATATATAATAGAAGAAATTTTTCCTAAGCTGACAAAAAGATTCATTTATGTAGAGAAAAGCTCATTATATCCTTTGGGGAAAAAACAAAACAAAAACATGTTAATATTGTTTTTGCCCTTTTTCATCTTTTCCTATTTTGTTTACAAGTTTAAGCTTTCTTCATACCCAAATCTCATCTATGAAGCCTTTATTTTTAAAATAGTTTTCCACCTCAGCCAAACTTAATTGCTCGTTCAGCCTCACTTCAGCCAAACTTAATTGCTCGTTCAGCTATCAGCATTTAAAAGTCTTTTCCTTAGCTTTAGAGCATAAGAAAGTTAAATTTTATAATTTCTCATTCGTTACTGTCAGTATATATGATGCTTTGTACTATTCAAACAGAGAATAAAGATTCTTTCCATTGATCTTGAGGTATTACAAAATACCTCAATAAATGCTCAGTAGTAAAAATAGATCATATTTCTTAATAAAAATAGTAAATGAATTTGAAAATTAGGACAAAACAAAACAGAAATCTCTCAAAACTATTATTTTAAATGATTGTTGACCCAAGAAGAAAATCAATGCTTTAATTACAATCAATTCAGAAACTTTATTTTTTATTTTTATTCATTTTTATTTTTTAAGACAGAGTTTCACTCTTGTTGCCCAGGCTGGAGTGCCACGGTGCCATCTTGGCTCACTGCAACCTCCTCCTCCCGGGTTCAAGCAATTCTCCCGCCTCACCCTCCTGAGTAGCTGGGACTACAGGTGCCTGCCACCACGCCCAGCTAATTTTTGTATTTTTAGTAAAGATGGGTTCTCACCATGTTGGCCAGGGTGGTCTTGAAATGACCTTGGGTGATCCACCCGCCTTGGCCTCTCAACATGTTGGGGTTACAGTTTCTAGGCCACCATGCCTGGCTTAGAAACTTTAATGTTATCCCTCAAAGCTAAATTTATAGGATATGGGTAAGCCTACACTGAGAAAAAATAAATAAATAAATAAATAAATAAATAAATAAATAAATAGCTTTAAATTAGTATGAAATTCAAGGCTTTTGAATAAAAGTTGTAAAATTAACCTAAAGAAGAGGAAGAGGAGAATGAATATGTTTAAAAACAGAATCCAGTGATGATCATTGGATTATTTTTTGAATCTTAACCATGTGACCAACACTATGCCAAAACGTTTATTTTATTTATTTATTTATTTATTTATTTATTTATTTATTTATTTCAGACAGAGTCTCGCTCTCTCGCACTGTCACCCAGGCTGGAGTGCAGTGGCACGATCTCGGCTCACTGCAAGCTCCGCCTCCTGGGTTCACGCCATTCTCCTGTCTCAGCCTCCTGAGTAGCTGGGACTACAGGTGCCCACCACCATGCCCGGCTAATTTTCTTTTTTTTTTTGTAGTTTTTAGTAGAGACGGGATTTCACCGTGTTAGCCAGGATGGTCTCGATCTCCTGACCTCATGATCCGCCCGCCTCGGCCTCCCAAAGTGCTGGGATTACAGGCATGAGCCACTGCGCCCAGCCCAAAATGTTTACTTTTATTGTCTCATCAAAACCTTAAGACAATCCTGTGAAGTCAATACTATTATCTTCAACTTAGCAGCTGAGAAAGTTGAGGTTCAGGAAAGCAACAGTAGAATAAACCTCAGAGCTGGATGTTTGCAAAATGCATACTGAAAAAGATAAACTCTGGAAAGATTTATCAGGTAGAATAAAAAATCAGAAATGAAATATAATCAGATTGTGCAACAGGATTATAGTCAATAATAATTCAACTGTACATTTCAAAATAACTAAAAGAGTATAATTGGATTGTTTGAAATACAAAGGATAAAGGCTTAGGGGATGGATACCTCATTTTTCATGATGGTATTATTACACTGTGCCTGTCTGTACCAAAATATCTCATGTGCCCCATAAATATATACCTCTACGATATATGCAAATAAACTAAAAATCAAAAAAATTTTAAACAAATATAACTAGAGAACTATAGATTTTAAAATCCTATAGAAAATATTTTATAAAATGTGAATATATTTTACTATATGTGAAAACCTTGATAATGTATATTTTAGAAAGTATAAATTATCATATTTAACCCAAGAAGAATTAGAATTCTAAATAGTCCTTCAAGAATTTGAAAATGCTGACAAAGAACTACTCTAATATTTAACATAATCCCAATAAAAATTTCAATGAGATCTCCTGGAGAACTTGAAAGATAATCCTGCTGATCACTTAGAAGAAAAAAAAAAAACAAGAATAACCCAGATCTTTTTTTCATTAAAGATGAATAATGAGAGAGAAATTATCCTACTGGTTAAAGTATATTATAAAACTATAGTAATTAAAACTTAGTGGCACTGTGGAAAAACAGTGGATTGGATCTATGGATTGGAGTGGAAAATCTATACATAGATCAAACATATATATATATATATACACACACACACACACACATACTTCCACTTCGACTGTAGAAAGCCATAAGTTAATATCACTCCAAACTTAACGATAAGAAAAAAACAGATGACCTACAAAATCATACCTTCTCTGGAGCTGAGCAATCTAGGCACTAAGTGAACTAAATTCCAAGGAGACGTAAACCCTCCCAAGCACAGACAAGGCATATAACTATTTCATCTTCGACAGAGCACGAGAAAAAGAAGTAGGCAGCATACAAGCAAGTAAGGAGAAATCAACTAAAATTTTAAGAAATTCATTAAGGCCAAGCATGGACTAGACTGTCAGTATAGAATAGCCGGGAACTCCAGACTCATAGAAGTGTGGGCTCCCTGGCTACCTTGCTTTCCCACAAGAAAGCCTGCAGGCAGAACAAAGGAGGCAGAAGAGAAATCTCCCACCTCTACTCCGCAAAGTTAGCCGGATGATGCAGCCTGCAGGAAGTGATCAACAGCTGCTGGGGAGAGAAAACACACTTCCTATTTCCCCAGACCCTTCTCTCCTATGAAGCAGATGCCGTATCTGCCAGCAGAGGGCAGCAAACTCTCCTGCCCCAGGGTCCAGGCATACACTCATTGCTTACCGGGAGGGATGCAGGTTAAGACAAGTCTATCGCCGGGGAGGAGGTGGGAAGCCATCTTTCCCACAGGATCTAGGGAAAGAGCCACTGTTACTAGGAAAGGGGTAGATGCAAAAGATTTCTGCTCCTGGGAGAGAAAACTCACATCTACCTTCCTTTCATTCTCACATGTACCTAACTCCAGCCCTTCTGTTCTCACCAAGCAAGTTTATACTCACCTTAGCACATTTTTAAAAATTGAGCTAATACTCGCATAACAACGAACGATTTTAAAGTATACAATTCAGTGGCATTTAGTACATTCGCAATGTCCTCAACAATCACCCTTACCTGTTTCGAAAACATTTTCATCACACCTGTAGAAAACTCGATACAAATTACGCAGTCATTCTCCACCACCACCCCAGCCCCTGGCAATGATTAATCTCCTTTCTGTCTCTATGGACTAATCTATTCCAGATAGTTCATATAAAAGGAATCACACAATATGTATGTGACTGGCTTCTTTTGTGACTGGCTTCTTTCACTTAACCTAATGTTTTCAAGGTTCATCCAAGTCATAGTTTCATGTGTGTCCGTGTGAAGAGACCACCAAACAGGTTTTGTGTGAGCAGCATGGCTGTTTATTTCACCTGGGTGCAGGTGGGCTGAGTCCGAAAAGAGTCAGCGAAGGGAGATGGATTATCATTAGTTCTTACAGGTTTTGGGATGGGCGGTGAAGTTAAGAGCAATGTTTTGTGGGCAGGGGTGGATCTCACAAAGTACATTCTCAAGGGTGGGGAGAATTACAAAGAACCTTCTTAAGGGTGGGAAGATTACAAACTACATTGATCAGTTAGGGTGGGGCAGGAACAAATCACAATGGTGGAATGTCATCAGTTCAGGCTATTTTTACTTCTTTTGTGGATCTTCAGTTACTTCAGGCCATCTGGATGTATACGTGCAAGTCACAGGGGATGAGATGGCTTGGCTTGGGCTCGGAGGCCTGACATTATCATGTATCAGTCCTTCATTTGTTTTTAAGGCTGAATAATATTCCATAGCATGGATATACCACATTTTGTTTATCCATTCAACTGCTGATGGACGTTAGGGTTGTTTCCACCTTCTGGCTATTGTGAATAGTGCTGCTATACCCACCTTCAAACATTTATGCCAGCTGTTCTCGATACCTGGAACTCCTTCCTGGAGAATCACTGCACATCTGGCTCCTTCTTGTCATTCAGGTCTCACTGTAAATGCTACCTCTTTGAATTGGTTTCACAATCACAGTTCCAGTGTAGCTCCCCAGGCACCGGCTGCCCCAGTTCTCAGCTTAGCACGTCTCCCAGTCTAAGATTCTTCTGCTGGTTTGCTTATTGGTTCTCCCACTAGAATTATATCCTCATGGAAGAAAGGAAATCTTCTGTCTTGTTTTATACTTTCCCTTCACCCCTTGAAGAGTTCCTGGTACATAATAGGTACTCAACAAATAACTGTTAAATTAACGAATACATTAGATAAACAAAATAAAACAATACACAATATTTTTTGCCTGTCAGCTTGACAGAAATTTACAAGAGCCCTGTTAATCAATAGAACTACAGTGGGGTCTCCAGAAAAGAGCCGTCCCATCCATCCCCTGCCATAGGGAAGATAACATGAAGCAAATTTTCTTGAGAGCAATTTGGCAGTAAATATCTGAAAGCTGAAAACTACCTATTCTTTGCACCAGTCATCTACTTCTGCATATTTACAGGAAAAAAAAAAAAAACTAGATCTCAAAGATGTAGACCAAAGGATATTTTCGCAACATTTTAAAAATAGCAAAAAGATGAGTCCCTGTGATATCCATTCATAAGAGACTAGTGGTACTACAGGGAATCAATACAAGGAACTGTCAGGCCTCTGAGCCCAAGCCAAGCCATCGCATCCCCGGTGACTTGCACGTATACGCCCAGATGGCCTGAAGTAACTAAGAATCACAAAAGAAGTGAAAATGCCCTGCCCCGCCTTAACTGATGACATTCCACCACAAAAGAACTGAAAATGGCCGGTCCTTGCCTTAACTGATGACATTCCACCACAAAAGAAATGAAAACGGCCTGTTCCTGCCTTAACTGATGACATTCCACCACAAAAGAAGTGAAAATGGCCGGTCCTTGCCTTAAGTGATGACATTACCTTGTGAAAGTCCTTTTCCTGGCTCATCGTGGCTCAAAAATCTCCCCCACTGAGCACCTTGCGACCCCCACTCTTGCCCGCCAGCGAACAAATCCCCTTTGACTGTAATTTTCCTTTATCTACCCAAATCCTGTAAAACAGCCCCACCCTTATCTCCCTTCGTTGACTCTCTTTTTGGACTCAGCCCGCCTGCACCCAGGTGATTAAAAGCTTTATTGCTCACACAAAGCCTGTTTGGTGGTCTCTTCACATGGACGCACATGAAAGGAACCGCATAGGGTCATTACAGGAGATAATATGAATATATGTTAGTATGAAAATATGTTCATAGACTTTTGCCAATTATAAAAGCTAGGTACAAAATGTATGTAAAGAAGGATTTAATTTTGGTAAGAAATGATATGTATGGTGACGTGAAAGGGAGAGCGAAAGAGAGGAGAATGATAATCATTATGATTGGGGGATATATGATTATAGCAAATGTTTTGCTTTTTTGACTAATAGTTTTTCTTCTTATATCCTCCAAAAGACACCTTTTAATTGTAATTATAGCAGGGCACAGTGGCTCACGCCTGTAATCCCGGCACTTTGGGAAGCCAAGGCGGGTGGATCACCTGAGGTCAGGAGTTCAAGACCAGCCTAGCCAACATGGCGAGACCCTGTCTCTATTAAAAATACAAAAATTAGTCAGGCACCGTGGTGGCGCACACCTGTAATTCCAGCGACTCGGGAGGCTGAGGCAGGAGAATCGCTTGAACCCAGGAGGCAGAGGTTGCAGTGAGCTGAGATCACACCACTGCACTCCAGCCTGGGCAAAAGAGTGAAACTCTATCTAAAAAAAAAAAATACTGTAATTATAAAAACAAATGATGTAAATAAATAAAAATAATCTCAGGTACATAATGCAATTAGTTATTCCTCTCAAAAACATGAAGCAGAAATAATATTCTTATTTGAGACATGTATATCATTTAAGTAGACACCAAATCCAGGTGAAATTTTCTGAATTTCAGAATACTTAGAGTTTCTGTATTGACTCATCCTAAATGTTATCAATACCTGTTTTTCCACTTAAAATTTCTAACACTATTAACAACACATTTAGCAGGTTATATACAATTCCCTTATTGTCAATGATCTTTGAATATTATAAAATATGCTAATGATTTCACCCTTCAGGAACTCTTTTGAATTCAGTGCACTAAGTCATAGACACACAGGACATTTTCAGGGCATGTTACCTATTATGTCTCCAGGGAAATAGGAATTTAAAATTTTCTTAGGGAAACAACAGTTTTGCCTTCTGCTAAACGCTATGCAGTTGGAAAGTATGTGAATATGCTTGGGAAACAAAACTCTAGAATCCAGGAATAGTTAGGCAGCTTGCAAAGATACTTATCTAGGATCAGAATGCTCGACAAAGGAAGTTGAGCAATGCAAGGCATGGTTTCCAGCTGGGGCAGAGTTAGGCAGGTCTTGATGCTTATAAGGCCAAAACAAGTTTACGAGGTTAAATGGTGGGGAGGGTGTGGCAGCTGTGTGAGTGCAATCAGGCAAGCGGTAGTTTAATGCAGGTGAAGAGCATGGTGATTCTGGGCCACCAGATGATTCACTGGGGTGATAAGGAAAGAAACCAAGATGGGAGCCTACGTGCAAAACACAGATCAATGCTCTGGAAGAGGAAAGGTCTGTGGCTTGAATGCACAGCATGGTTTGGACTCATCTCTGGCATACAACCTGCCTGATCTAGGACAAACAGTTTAACTTGCAGCTCTGACTCAACTAGGGCTGTAGCTGCTGCCTTGTCAAGATTAAGGAAGGGAAGAGGTTGTGTTAACCTTGGCCCAAAGGAGGGAGTGGGGCATAGATGATTTCTCCAGAAAGGGGCAAAAAAGGCAGACATTGATGCTTTAATTGATATAAAAGTAAATAAAGCAGATCTCTGACAACAAAGTGCTTACCACGTCATCAGGAAGGAAAGCCATAACGTAGAGATAAAGAACCTTACGTGTAGTGAAAATGGGGCAGGTGCGTTTTGAGTTGTAGAGGAAGGCCAGCTGCGGCAAGTCTTGAAGGCCCAAATGCAGTATTCAGTCTTTATGCTATAGGCATGGGGAAGCCTTCATAGTTTTTGAATAAGGGGATGACTTCATAAAGGTACCATTTTAAAGCAATGGATCTGGTTGTAATGGATAGGGAGAGTTCGGCATGTTTTCATAAAGATACATATTTTAAGCATAATCTCTCTCTTCCTTGTGGGAGTTTTTCCATTTTTCCTTTGGTGTCCTCAGATTCCTGACTCTGCTCTGTCATATACACCAACATGCCAGCACTCTAGGGCCTTGACGTTTCAGAAAGGAGTACAGTAAAAATGGCAGCAAATATGACCATAGCAGTAACAACAACTATCATCTTGTAGCCAAGTGGAGCTCAGAGTTGAAAACAAACTTCAATTCATTTGGGGATGTTTTAGAGATATATAGACTGTCACTCTTCACATCTCATTTTCAAAATTCAAGAACCCTACCTGCTAATGGACAAGAACTCAGAAGTTATTTAAAATATTTGATTCTTTGTTCTAATAATAATGAAAGCCAGAGAACCACAGAAAAGAATTTTTGTAACGAAGTCAACTTAAGTATGAATTAACTACATCTAATTAAGGTAATTCTTTAAAATATCAAGCACTAAAACTGACAAAAATGAAATGTCACTGGCCATACACTTTCCAACATCCTTCCTAATACGTGAGCCTCCTGAGAATTGTTTAACCTTACAGAGCCATGAACTTACCTCTGCATTGTATGTTTCATGTGGTGATGATGAGCTATTAGAATATGATCCCCCATTCCCAGCTCCTTTCTCTCCCTTCGAGATTATGTCCGTCTTCCTCTTTATTTGCATCATCTTTCAGATTCCCGGAGTTGTTCAGTCCTAAACCTAGGAAACTTGAGGGCCTTAATGTTCTACGAAGTAACAACAATATTGTCAGAATGACAGTAGAAACAGCCATCATAGTGACAACATTCTATTCACATTCTGTCACTACATCACTAATTGCAACATGACCATAAAGCTGTGGAACTTGAAGGAAAAAAGAGATGATGAGGTCATCCAGAGCATTAGTCAGTCTTTCTAATTGCTAGCATATAGTTCCAAGGTTTCCAAGAGAAACCCTTATTTCAGGATTTTATAACTTGGCACTTGTGATCCACTGTCGACTTAAACTCGACATGAAAGGCCCCAGGCACAGGAACATAATTAATATATTCTGAGTCATATAAAAAAGGGGCAACCAACATAAACTCCAGTCATTCACAAATGGCTCTGTTTTAAAATGATCTTTTTCAAGCGGCCATTTCTCAGGTGCTCATGCAGCCAGCAGTGCCATGGCCATCCCCATCCATCACCCACAGAGAATTCTGGAAGGCAGGAGCCACACATACCATCAAATAACCTCACAGGCTTTTGGTGAGGATGTGATTTTTCAGGCCAGGTCTTTGTGTCTATTGTTTCAAGCCCATGAAAATGGTCGGCATATTAAGGATTTTATTGCTACTTAATTTTTTAAACTATGAATTTGTACCAAAAAATGTGATTTAAATACGTTTTGCAGCAGTTACAGCACTTTTCTTCCCTCATTGGCACTACTCTCCTGGTAATGACTGGAGGCCACAATTAACCAGCCAGCTGCTCTTGGCTAGCCTCTGCTCAGGGTGTTCAAAGCCCATCAGATGATTCTCAACATGTCATTATTATTGCTAAGAACAACTGACTACAACCAACTGAGTAAAGCAAATGATGTTTTAGAAATTCTACAGAAAATCATCATTGTGCAAAGACCCAGCGGACTACCTGGGGAAAAAGAGGTAATAATAATAAAGCAGTGTTGATGAAGATAATAATAAAGCAGTGTTGATGAAAATAATAATAATGACAGTGGCGTTTACTTTAGGATACACTCACGAATAAGGAAGTCAGCAATCCCTCATTACCATGCATCACTCAAACTGACGTGGGAAGATTTTCTTAGCCTATGCATATTTATTAACCATTTACACATATTCAGCATTGTAAAAAGTCAGGCTATAATTCTCATCTAAAGGGGCTTATGATCTAGTTATAAAGAAGTTAACACATACAAAACAATCTGTGGAAACATCAAGACAATAATTAAATGTTAATTTGTGAGAGTTGAGAGGAGATGAATGAAATAGTGAGAGACTGAAATAGTGAGGGAAGTCTTGGCTGAATCATGGGGTTCTGATCAGTGGAAAGAAGAGGAGATTCATTGCAAATGAGAGCATCCATGTTAGAAAAGGTAAGAGATTGAAAACGTGCCAGTTAGAGGTGAATCTTAAAGTCTGCATAGCACCTAAGCAAAATGCTAGGAAGTCACTGTTAACACTTGAAGGCTGTTTCATTCTGGCAACTGAGAGCATGTAAGAATGAAGACTCAGACCTGCCCCAGACCTACTGAATCAGAATGCGTATTTTAACAAGATTCCCCAGGTGATGCTGACCTGCATTCAGGTCAGATAAACACCACCATAGACTATGCAGGAAAGACCGGAAGGCCAGAGAGGAGACTGGGAGAGCCGAGGACACCACCCGGTTCTGTCACTTACTTTCAGGGATAACTTGGCAGATCATTTAACTTCGTAGGGCCTCAGTTCCCCCATCTGTAGAGGAAGGTAGACTAGAAATGATCATCAAAATTCTCTAACAGAAAAATGATTTTCGTCAATTAAAATCTGATATGAAACCCAAATGTGTCAAACCAACACAAGTAAAGTGCCCATCTACTCCACATAAAATGTATCTGAAGGCCAAAACTGGAGGGCATTGTGTGATGCCAGAAAGTACTGTTTTTCTTCATTCTGAAGGTATACCTTAGAATTCTTTTGTTACCCAGGGATAAACACATGTAAAGGAAACTGTGGGGTAAAGACTCGATAATATTCCTCTTCTCTCTGTGTTAATGTCTCCCCAGCCATAGCATCTCCCACCGGAGAATGGACATCAACCTCATTATCCACTTCAAGTCAACAAGTATTTATTAAGCATTTCCATTTTATCTAGATCATAACCCATTTCCTAGGAAGAAGTCAACATAAATATGAAATATATATATGTGTGTGTGTGTGTGTGTGTGTGTGTGTGTACACAGAGGTGTTCTCAAATGCGGCTGGCCTCAACAGAATGACAAGGAGAGGCGCATCAGGAAACCAATCTTTATTAAACACTTACTAAACACCAGGATCTATGCTAGATACTTTCCAAGAATGATCTCATTTAGTTTTAAAAGCAACCCCACAGAAAGGTGCTATTATTGTAATTTTAAAAGTAGGACACCAAACTACAGAGGTTAAACAAAGTCACACTGATAGGAAATGATGATGACAGCTTTGGATTCAATCTCTTTCTCCATAGGCTTTTTAATTAGTCCCAACTCATGATAAACCTGTCAAAAGGGAAAGGATTGTGAACTTCCCTACCCCTGGGCCATCATGATTGCCCAGGGAAATTGCCCTGGAAAGATGAAATCTTTCCAGATCGATGGTTCTCAACTTTGGTTATATAATAGAGCTACCTGGGGAGCCTTTTGAAATCCAGGTGGGTAGGCTAAACCCCAGATGGATCAAATGGGAACCAAGTTCAGGCTTGGTCCCCAGAGTCCCAGCTGAAGTGATCTGGAGGCTGAGGATTTAAAAGATTTGTTGACTTTCTTTCTAGGGAAATTTATCTAGGAAAGCTTTGCCATGGTCAATAACTAGAGATGCAGTCGACATAAACTGTTACATATGTTTTGGAGACTAAGCATGCTAGGAAGCCCTCTTTTAAATGTAGGTCTTCAGATGAAAATATTATATTTTTAAATTCTTCTAAGACTTCTTTATTCATGTACAAATGTATTGTACCTTTAACTAGCCTTTTAACTAACAAAAACAAGAACAAAAACACATGATGAGGTCTGTGAGCTGCCTGGCTGAGCCTCACTTGAAAAACCATTCAAAATGAACTGAGTCCACTCCGGCTGTCGCCACATCTGTTGTGTCCTGTTTATTCCCTTGGCAGCTGCCACTAATACACATATTCTGGGTCTGATGTCAAGAGGGTGCCTGCCGGATCCCAAAACGTCAAGAGGGGAAATGAGAGAAGGACGGAGAGCAGAAAAGATTGCACATTCTAAAGCCCGAGCACCTTCAAAACGTGGTCTTTAAAAAAAAAAAAAATCCATTAATGCCATGTGATATCTTAATTGGGACTAAGAAAATCTCAGAATAGGATTTTGGGAAATCTTACAGATATGCTTTTTTAAAATTAGCATCATGCAAAATAAGCAAAAAAATATTTTTTTAAAATTAGCATCCTGCAAAATTACCCAAATGCTTTGAGTCTATTAGGAGAACTGGTTCCACAACTGCTGCAGTGAGGGACAGGGTTGCCAGTTCTGCATGTGGATTCTTCTGACTTGCTTTGATCACCACTCATTAAGCAGCCAACTCTGTTTTTCCAGCCTCTGCTAGATTTATTCAACTATCACCAACAGTGACTTCAATGAGAGTTCACAATTCCCAACAAGAGCCACCAAATAGAGAGGTAAAAATGCATCTAAGGTGAACTATGAGTGTGACATTGCCAGATTCAGAGAGAAGGGAATTTTCCAAGCATCAGACAAATAATAATAATAATAAAACAAACAAAGCCAGGCACTCTTACCTACCTTTGATAAACAATGTCCTAAGAGAGTCACAGGTTACTCTTCTCAGAACCTAGCCAATTCAAGTCCTGACTTGAATCCTTATCAACTTTGTGGCTCTCATGAGTTACTGACAATCTCTGAGCCTGTTGTTACAGTTTTAAAACAGGGTTGTGATAGCTCCCACCTCATGAGGTTGCTTTGAAGAATAAAGAACGTAATGCTTAGACCAGAGCCTGGCATATAATATATTCTCGGTAAATGGTAGCTGCTGTTATTATTGTTGCCTCTATCAGCATTTCCAAACAATTCATCTCTCTGGGTCTGGTCTATTTAAAGATGAGAAGTTAGCAAGTACTGGTCTGTTTGTTCCTAATTGTCTTTGTAAACTAATGAGGCTGTGATTTTCTTAAGAGTACTAACTAAATATGGCTTTGTTGGAGATGGGGCAGGGTGGGGGACTGGGGGAAATCAAAACAAAAGAAACAGCAACTCAGCCAGTCATGCAGATGCCGTCCCTGTGATGTGTGTGGGATCTCTGGGGACAGCCTCTGCTCTGCCTTACTATGCAAGCAAAAGCCTCACTCTCTCTTGCCACAGCTGTCTGCTCTCTCTTCACCAACATTCTTTTCACTGAAAGCCACTTTCTCTCAGGCTAAATTGGCCAAATTGAATGAAGTTCAAACAAGAACAAAAGAAAGGTAAAAACTATGGTACAGACATGCTTTCAACCAGCAGCATTCATGCATTTCAGCTTTCAGAGCTTAATCAAATATTTGGGTTACTGTCCCCCATCTACGAAATAAAATTCTAATTCTATTTTACTTATCAAAAAGTATCCATAGCAATAAAAATCAATTTAGTTCTATCTTATACATTACTTATAGATGTATGCTATAAGTATATATCTAGTATATAAGATGTATACTATGTTATACATTAAGGTAAAAATGGTGTAAAATAGCCAAATAATAGACTGATAGATGGATGGTTTGATTATATAATATTTCTGTTATTTTTTAAGAGCGCCGATAGCTAATATACAAAGAAAGTAAAAGTAGGTTATCAACTTGTCATTAAAAAGTTATGTTTCATAAAACACATTCAGATAAATTCCATAGTATAATAATGAGAGGCAGTAGTGTGCTGGCTAGTAGTAGCAACTGGGTTTAAATCCCAGTGCTGTCACCTACTGCTATATGACCATAGACAAGTTAATGACTCTATTGCTTCTCTCCAGATTGGGGATAATATCACTAGCACTAGGCTAGGCGTGGTGGCTCACATCTGTAATCCCAGCATCTTGGGAGGCTGAGGCAGGTGGATCACAAGGTCAGGAGTTCAAGATCAGCCTGGCCAACATGGTGACACCCCGTCTCTACTAAAAATACAAAAATTAGCCGGGCACGGTGGCAGACCCCTATAATCCCAACTGCTTGTGAGGCTGAGGCAGGAGAATCACTTGAACCCGGGTGGCAGAGCTTGCAGTGAGCCAAGATCATGCCACTGCACTCCAGCCTGGGCATCAGAGTAAGACTCCATCTCCAACAAAAAAAAAAAAAAAAAAAAAAAAAAAAAAAATATATATATATATATATATATATATATCATTAGTACTACCACATAGGATTGTTTGAGATTAAGTTTCTATCTTTCAATAAGTTAAAATATTTAAAGCACTTAGACTGGTGCCAGCACATAGTTAATGCAATTTAAGTGTTTACTTTCATTATTATTATTTTATAAAATACCTAATCAGTCTTTTTTGAAAGTGAGTATTCCTGTGGGATTGGGTTGAGATAGTGTTAGTTCCTTCCCAAGATATAAATAACCACAGTCCCTTTGTAACCGTGGGACCCGCCCAAGCTTACCCTACTATGTTGATAACAAAATGTTGAGTTACCTAGTAAGTGTAACAGAGTCAAAAACAAGTCATGTAACCTGGACAGTACAAAAAGCCTTGGTTTCTAACAATATCTAGGACCAGTGATTCCTCCCCTCAGAGCCAAGACTGGGACATGACCAGAACCTGAACACCAGAGCTCTTTCAGAAGCAAGGTGTCCATTGGCCTGGAAGATCTAGGCCAAAAATCTGCCTCAGCGTGCCTTACCATAAATGGTCAAATTTGAAGCCCTCCAATCAGACCCTGCCAAGCCAACATCCCTAAATCCTTTCCGTTGCCCTCTGATTCCTTAAAACTTGCCCCAGAACTTAAACCTGGGAGATAGATTTGATCTTGACTACTGTCTTCTTACTGGCTGGTTTTGCAATAGAGCTTTTCTTTTCTCAAAAGCCAACGCCACTGCGATTGGCTTTTGTGCACATTAGGAAGTGAGCCTATTTGCTCAAGAACACCCTCTTGGGTGGGAATCCACAATCGTGTTTTCTTCTCTTAACTCCTAGAGCATTCAGAAGGTGTAATTTTCCATGTATCATCTTTGACTCTGTGTCTTTTTTAACTTTTTCCTATACATCTGAATATCAAAGACACTCTAAGCATTTGAGGGAACGGAACTATGACTTATTGGTTTTCTGATCCCTTTAACACCTAGCACCCAGTAAGAGCTCAATAAATCTTTGAACGAATGAATGAATGAGCCTGATCAAAGCCGATTAACATATTTGGAGACAACTTGGATGAACCCCTCAGTTCATTATTATCCAATTAGTTGAAGACTTCAGACTGTTAGCTTTCTGAGAACAATTAGAACCACTTAGAAGACTGAGCACCAGATCCTCAACATAGTACATAGAAACCTCTTTGAACAATGGACCCAATTTTCTAGCTTTCCTTATTATCATTTTAGTCTCAGTAAAGCTAAATTGCTTGCATTTTCCCGAACGTACTAGGCTCTTTTTGCTCTTATCATTTTCTTTAACTTTGTTTTATGGATAACTCATACTCATCCTCTAACTCAAAATAAGTGAACATCTTGTGTACAATAAGAAGGTCTTATATAAGTGACCTTCTTACAACTCTAAGAAACCATCCCTAAAACCCACATAGATGTTCCACTTATTTATTACAGTGTAACAATTCCCCCCACTAACCCCACCCCTCAATGAAAAATTCAGTACCTTAAAACTAAATTGCTTTTATTATTTCTCATGGTTCTGTCAGTCGACTAGGCTCATGCAGGGTGTCCCATGAGGTTATAGTTAGATATTAGCTGGCAAAGCAGTCATGGAAACTCTTGACTGGGCTCAGTACCCAAAATGGACTGTTATTATGGCTGGCAGTTGATTCTGGCTATCTGTTGGGAGTTCAGCTGTGGCTACTGATAGGGGCACCTACACAAGGCTTCATCAGGTGGCTTTGGAGTTTCACATCCTGGCAGTGGATTACCCAGAGGAAACACTGCAAATATAAGTATTTCCAGATATGGGAAGTAGAAGCCGCTGGCACTGCACCATATGGTTAGGACCTGCAAACTGGCACAGCATTGCTTCTGCCACATTCTATTAATCAAAGTAGTCACAGAGCCCAACCAGAACTAAAGGACAGGGAACACAGACCCACCTCTCAATAGAGGAATGCCAAAGAACTTGTGGCTGTCTTTTAACTGTCACAATGGTCATATGTGCACTTTTGGACACCTGGATATACCTAGTTTAAAATTTTTAAATTGCAATATGTTGACACTGAAACACTTGGATTCTCACTCTAAGCTTCTTTAGTAAGTGGCAAGCACTGTGCTGAGTAGAAATTACATATCAAGTACATACACATAGATTGAATTAAATTAACATTAGTTTGGGAGAAATAATAAATATTTTGGAAGAGAGACTCAGGATTCAAAAATCTCTAGAGATGAGTATGAGCCAAAACCCATTTTAATTTATACTTCTAGAAAATTACGTACAGTTCTGGTAATAATGGCTTAAGAAAAAAATTGATTGAAGACTTGTAGAAAACACTAATTTTTAAATTACAAACACAATTTTTATAACTTTTTTTGCTTATATCTCTCTTTCCAGATGCAACAAACTCCCTTATTCCTCTTAGTTACCACATTTAACATGTCTAATGTGTTTCCCTCAAATTTCTTCTCACCCACGTATTATTTTCATGCATGCCCAACCAGGCTTCCACCAGCCAGCCTCTGCATCTTTAAAGAGTAGACGTGAGAACTACCAGAGAAAGTCCCTGTCCAATGACTAATGGATGTGGGGGCATAAATATCCCCTCTCCTTTACTCCTTGGCAGGATAATTCTAAGACTTGTTTTACACTACCTTTCTAGAGTTTCTCCATGCAATTATGCTACCCCACTGTGAGAGGTGGCCTAATAATTCACTTGTTATTTTCTCTTTCCTTCCCTACATCAATTCCCCTTGCCCAAGCTAGTGTTCCTTGACTCCCAAATAACTTCTGCACTCAAATTGTTGACTCAAGGTCTACTTCCAGGGGAACCGACACTAAAATAGTCAATGAGCAAACTCTTAAGAAAACAATACATATTTCTTATGGCTAAAGTTTTAGTGAGATACAAGACTAATCTGGCTCAAGTCTGTTCCTCAACAGATTTAAAAACAAAACGTATTTCATAAACAGATCACTACTTGTCACTTGTCAGGGTCAATATTTGTAAGTAACAGGCAGGATTTTAACCCAGTCCCTGAATGCTTACAGGTTCATAGGCTAAAGTAATCACCTAAAAATCAAACACAGATGAACCTAAAAAGGCAAAGCTTTTTTTTTCTTTTTAAAATAACATGACAAAAGTAAGTAAAAGAAAATGGTCCTCCAGAGACTCCAAGCTTTCTCATGACTGCCCTTACTAAAAAAGCTCCACGAGAACCCACACGGGGTTTGGGATGCCAGGGATGAAGGACGTGCCCTGAGGAAGTGGTTTGTGTGGGATGGTCAGACCATGGTGAATAGTATTTAACATGGTTGATATATATGTACCAGATAGTTCTTCAGCTATATAAGGATCTTGGGAATGAATGCTCAGTATGTCAAATTGATCTGTTTCTTTACTCAGTTCCAAGTGTCCATCCCATTTTTTTTTCTCACATACTTGTTGGAGAAAGGCCCGCTGCTCTGGTTTGAAGTATCGAAGGGGAATGAACATGAAGGCCATGGTAGGGACTGTCACCAAACCCTACTGGCTTCCTCTGTGCTAAATGTCCTTGCAGCCAGGCCACTCAGTCTCTGAACAGCACTGTCCTCCACCCCTAGTTTTACCTCCTGTATTCAGGATGCTTGGTAGGCAAGGATGCAGGGCAAGGGCACTAGTGGGAGAGGCCCACCTTACCCAGGACTGCCTCAGTAATCTGGATAGCAAAGGGCCTCACTCAGTGTTCTCTCACACTAGGCTTGGAAGCAGCCTAAGAGCAACTGACTCTTGTGGTCCAACAGCCACCATTTCCATTTCAGGCCCTTGTTCTAGAAGAGACAGTAATGGAAGAAGGAAAACCAGTTTATCCAAAAAGAGGTTGGCTCAAGGTCTCTATAGCCTAGTATGGAATCTCCTTGCCTCTTTGTTGTGGCCAATATCATCTTGGTCACGTCACTTAGTTGCTCTGAGCCTCAGGCTCTTATTTATTGTTTTGTATTTAAATTAGTTCACACTTAGCCTGATACCAGGCTTCTTGGTAAATGGTAAATATCATCTTCTCCTGAAATGTTTAGATAGCCTGCTCAAAATTCAGCTGGGCCTTGTCATACATTTATTAACTAGCTTTGCTCTCAATTCTAAAGCCCTGCCTGGGACTCAGGTGATTTCAGTAGAAGGGGTTTTATTTCTTTTACATTAGAAAATTCTAATGTCCAGGTCTCATCCCATATCAACTGAAATCGAATGTCTACAAAGGAAGTAAAACTTGTCAAGGTTCTCCAGGCGACTCAAATGCATGGGCAGGGTTGAGAACTCCTTAAAGTGATCTTACTTGGCCAAAACTAAGCTGAAATTTGTAGAGAGATACTGTCATTTCATGCAGAGGTGACTGGTCTGATAAAACTCTGAAAACTTTTTTCTCTGAGAAATGGTTGAAGGAAGTGAATATGTTTAACCTTGGGAAAGAGGTTGAGGGGGAGACTCAGGTGGGGACATGGAAACTTTCTTCAAACATTTGAAGAGGCCTAAGATAACTATTTTTAAATGAAATGATTAATCATCTTCTTTGTATTGCTCTGAGATGTAGAAGTTAACAGGTATGCAGATTTAATCTCAAGATAAGAAAGATCTTCTAGTAATTTCCCCAAAGAGAATGACTCTCTAAAACATAATGAGTTTCTAATCACTAGAAATGCTCAAGCGAGCCTAGATGATTATCTTCAGAAAGAGATTGGACTGATGATCTCAAAGGTTGCTTCTAATCTAAGATTTTATGAATTAAGATTAAGTAATTTTTATTCCCTTTTGTAATAGGTCTTCCCCCTCTCATGTGCCATGGCCAAAGGAATGCTTCCAAATGAAGCAAAGGGCTTTCAAAAGCCACTTGAAATAAGAGAGTAAAAATAAAACCAACGTAAGAAGTATTTGTTTCATTTAATTTGGCTTTAGTATTCATAGATTTCCAAGAGTTTTGACAAAATAATAAGATATTCTTCTTTAAAAAAAACTGTTCTTATCTCTCCGCCTGAATATTGCAGTTGTAGACTTTATGGAAACACATGGCTACATAAACCCTGTGCAACCTTGTCTTGTGAGCCAATTCCCATACCACACACGCACTTGATAGCATCTTTCTATTGAGAAGCTCACAAAAAGCAGACAAATGCAGGGTCAAAACCCTGAGATCACAGGCAATCATTTAGAGGGAAGGGATTAGGGATTCCCTGTCAGATGTCAGTCAACTCAGAAAAACCTTCAGAGAGTTTGACTTCTTCCAAGTGAAATATGTCAAATGCTTATTATTTTGATATTTACTATTATGCGGAAAACAATAATAGGTCTCCAATATGGTTGCCACCTAACTAGCCCTCCAAAGTGATATACTGAATTCCATAATAAGACGTTTTTAATAAAGTCTCTTTGGAGGTCACTTTTTTACTCAGGAGCATTTTTATTTTATAGACCCTTTGCTATAAAAAGGAGCACTGGTTCTTGTTATATGCCTGTCAGGATTTATTCCTCTTTGACAAGAAGGAATTTTTAAAAACCGAACTTCCAGAATAAACAACAATCACTTTTAGAGCTTGATGTTAAGATGTAAAGCAATAATTTGCAGTTTCAAGAAAAGACTTCAAAAGCATCAGAAATGAAATGCACTGAGGTTTTTCCCATGCATTTGACTTCAACTTGGAGAAAAAGATAAAAATGAAATACGTTTTCTCTCTTCTTTATGCCTAGCTTTACTTATTCATGTGGCTTAATTTTGATGAATGGGTTAAATTTTTCTCTGAGTTATACCTTGTCTTTTTTCCTTTGCTTAGAGCTTACTTCAGTCAAAGAGTTTAGAGATATAGATTCTAATTGCCCTCAGCACTGGAACAAATTATATTAGATACTTTTGAATAGTCAGGGAAAACAGAAAAACTGGCCTTTTCACTTTGTTCATTTGCTGTTCTCTCTTCCATATTGGTATGAGTGGGCCAGCCTGTTTTTTTTCCCTTGTAGCAGCAGTTTCATAAACAGCCCTAGTTATTGTGATAAACCTCTACAGAAATTATATTTTTTCAAAAAAACCATCAGACTTCTAATATTTAATAGAACATATTTTAATACCATTATAAGGAAGACAATGGCACAAACATGCATTTGATTGAAGTAATTCTGTGAATGTATCTCAAAGAAATTCTTAAATCCTTATTCTTGAAAAAATAAATGTCTCTCCCAACATGGAGTCCAATCACTTGTTATAGATGGTGATCAGCCTCCAGGAGAGCTGATCACAGGCCTGTCTGGGGATAAGGATTTGCTAAATGAATCAGCAAAAGTACTACCCAAGGTGGAAGTGAGAAAAAGTAGGCAAACTCCAAAAGCCTCCCATAGAGAAACCTTTTCATTTCCCATCTTCCTTTGCAATCCTGAAGGTACCTCTAATTGGCACAGAAAACAAACAAGGCACTCTTTAAATATCTAATGCTTAAATATGTTGCTACTTTAATAAATAGAATATGTGATAAGTGCGTATTCTACTATACATATTCTATCTACTTTAGTAAATGGAATCTGTGATAAATGGTGGTTACTGATATCTCTTCTAATATTCTGATAAAGCATCTATAAAATCATTAACACTTAAAAAACACATAGTGACACTAAAAAAATACTTAAAAATTATAAGAAAGATCTACTAATACAAAACCTACAAGTAAGCTTTGATTATTCTTGGGCAACTGACACAGGCTTTAGCAGCAGAAAACAAGCTGACACAGCAGCCTGAAAGGACCTAGACAGACTCTCCTGTTTGGGCTGCTCTTCTGGCTGTCCTCCAACTCAGTAACCCAGCCCTGTACCATTTAGAACTATCAGTCACAGACCCACTGCTATAAGAGGTGGCTAGAGAAAAGCATCCCAATAGAAATCCTATTATATTCACTAGACAGTTTCAACTCCACCATAACAATAAAACAGGAGTAAACGGAGAAAGGAGCTGTGTCCCTTTCCATCTTGATAAGTTTAATTCTTGTAAATTAGTCAAAAAATGTAAAAGAGTAGAAGCCTTTTTAAAGCCTCAAAGCACTAAATTCTTGGGAGTGTGAATTTTCATCCATCCTGCTGAATAAGTTTATCAATGAATCAGCTGGGATTAACACAGGAGAAAAAAGCCTTACTATATCCATTGGCAAATACAGGGTCTGCAGAGATCTCCCCTCATTCCAGGATGAATAAACAAGAAAACAGCAAAAACAAGAAGCAAGATACTTAAGAAGATATACATCAGGACAATGAGAGAGAAATACCATCCTAACAATTCAGAAGATTATTTGGGGTATCTGTTGGGTTTGGTGACCAAAAACTTACTTCCTTTCCTAACAGATCTTTTTATATTTCAGGAATTAATATTTCTCTATTGGAGACAATACCTTGAGACTGTATTTGGGAAGTCCCCCTGGTTTCTAGCCAAGAGACAGTTATCTGACTCAATTGAGATAAACTAGTGCCCCTGCCTGGCATTTAGTCTTGAAGAGGGGTTGGAGTTTTTCATCACTGCAATAGTGTGTGATTCCTACCATCAGCCTGTTACCTTGGCTCCTTCCAGTCCCCCTGGTTTTGTAAGCCATTGAACGTGTTTTTTCTTCCTTAATTTAGAATCATTTTCTGTTGTATGCACCAAAAGAATCTCAATGGACACAAGGACCCACTCTAAAAATTATTTCTGATGGGCAACCAGAATAAAATTATAGAAATAAATGAATGAAAGAAGTGCTGTGTTTGGAGAAATGGAGTAAAAGCCACAATGAAAGAATACAAGAGAAAATAAAAGGTAGTAGTGTAAGACAAAGAAAGGATATAAATAAACTGAAGCTATAATTCACGATTAAAATAAACTCCAGTGCTAGTGTAAGAAGCATTTTTGGGTCTCAGGAAAATGGAGTCAGCGTGAAGAAACTTAAGAAGTTCTCAGAAAGGCAGAGAGATTTAAAAAATTAGAAAAGATGGGAATAGAAGAGGGTTAAACAACAATATATCATGTTTCAAGAGGAGAGATCAAAATTACTGGAAGAAAATAAGCAACAGAGGAAGGAGAAAGAGAAGAAAAAAATAGAGAGCAAAAAAATTACAGCTTTCCAAATCTTTCAGATTGAAGGCATTATGAAAGCACGAACAAGATTCATGAAAAGAGATTCAGATTTAAACATGTACTAATCTACAAAAATGAAGAAAACAAGATCTTTTTAGGATCTAGGCAGAAATGAAAATTTATCTGTAAATGAAGAAAAATTAGACTGCCTCAGAATTATCTAATATAACATTTCATCCCAAAAATAACTTTGAAAATATTCTTAAGTGTTTTAATCACCCCACTGAGCTATAATTTATATAAATAAAATGTATCCATTTCAAATGTACAATTCAATGAGTTCAGACAAATGTACACATCTGGAAAACGACCATCTTAATCAAGATTCAGAACATTTCCATTAGTCACGAAAATTTCCTCATTCTTCTTTGTTGAGACTCCCCATTTCTTCTCCCAGACCATCCTGATTTGCTTTTAGGCACTATAGTTTTATCTACTATAGGCTTTCCTATACATGGAGTGATAAAAATATATATTCTTTTAGTTTGGGTTTCTTTCATTCAGCATAATGTATTTTATATTCATCCAAGTTTTTGCATGTTTCAATAGTTTGTTCCTTTTTATTGCTAAGTAGTATCCCATTGTACAAAAGTATTATAATTTGTTTCTTCATTCATATGCTGATGGATATTTGTCTTGTTTCCAGGCTTTGACAATTTTGAATAAAAGCAGTATGGACATTTTTGTGCAAACATATGTTTTCATTTCTGGTTATATGGCTAACTTTATAAGAAGTTGTCATACTGTTTTCAAAAGTGCTTGAGCCATTTCACATTCCCACCAGCAGTGCATTAAAGTTCTAGTTGCTCCATATCTTCATCAACACTGCATTTTAAGGCATCTCAATTTGAGCCTTCTTAGTGGACATGTAGTGTTAACTCCTTATAATTTGCATCTCCTTAGATGACTAATGGTTTTGAGCATTTTTTTCATGTAAAATCCCATTAGAAAACAACCCAAAGATTTGAATGAACACTTCGCCAATGAGTATACTGTAGTCCCTCATTATCAGCACAGGATAACTTCCAAGAGTCCCCATACAAACCGTCCCTCAGTGTCCATGGGAGATTTGCTCTAGGCACCCTGTGGCTAGTAAAATCTGCAAATGTTCAAGTCATTTATATAAAATAGCACAGTATTTGCATATAACCTATGCACTTTCTCTCATATACTTTAAATTATCTCTAGGCTACTTATAATACCTAATATATAATAAATGCTATGGTAATAGTTGTTGCTTGGTATAGATTATGAAAAAAATGACAAGAAAAACGTCTGTATATATTTATTACAGAGGCAACCATTGTAGACCTAACTACATTTTCAAGCCATGGTTGGTTGAATCCACAGACACAGAACCTGTGGATATAGAGGGCTGATTGCATTCTATGATTTTTTCCTATATTTACGTATCTATGATAAAGTTTAATTTATAAATTGGACATAGAAAGAAATTAACAAAATTAATAATGAGATAGGACAATTATAATAATAGAGCAATAAAAGCTTATATGAATTTGGTCTCTTTCTCTCTCTCACAATATCTTACTATTTTCAAACTGCAGTCAACTGCAAAAAGTGAAACTGTAGATACAGGGGAACAACTGTAAACAGATAGCAAATAAACACAGGAAAAGATATTCATCATCATTAGCCACTAGGGATAGGCAAACTAAAGTTACAATGAGATACCCCTATATTACCTGTTAGAGATACCTATCAGAATGGCTAAAATAAAAAATACTGATAATAACAAGTGCTGTCAAGGATGTAGAGCAATCATACCTCTAGCATATTGTTGATGGGAATGTGAAATGTAGTGTCTCTGGAAAGCAGTTCAGTATCTTCTTATAAAATTAAATATATACTTACCATATGACCCAGAAATTGCTCTCTTAGGTATTTATCCTAAATAAATGAAAACTTATATTTCCACACAAAAAAGTTTTATGTGAATTTTGATAGCAGCTTTACCTATAATAGACAAAAACTAGGAGAAAAAAAAAAGCCCAAATGTCCTTCAAGGGTGAATGGATAAATAAACTATAGTACTTTTTATAATACTATAGCACAATGGAATACCACTCAGAAATAAAGCACACTATTCATATACTAACAGCTTTGGTGAACCCCAGTGACATTATGCTGAGTGTAAAAAAGCCAATCCACTCTCAAAATGACAGAATTATAGTGATGAAGAACCAATCTGTGGTTGCCAGGGTTTAGGGTTGGGGCAGAGTACAGCTCTTTAGGAGTACCGTAAAGGAATTTATCTGCAATGATGGAAAAGTACTGGATTCTGATTATAGCTACGGTTGCATGAATCTATAGATGTGATAAAATTTCCTAGAAACATAAAACAATAAATAAATTAAAAGGGCAGAAAGGGCTGAGAAATAACATTTAGAATATTGGTTGCTTCTGAGAGAGAGGGGAGACCAGGCTGGGATGGGGAAGGGCACATAGGAAATGTCAAAGCCAATGGCAATGTTCTTTTCCCTAAATTAAATAGTGAATATTATCATGCTTGATACTTTATATTTATGTAATAAATATTCTTTGATAACTATTCTGTGCTCAATAAAAATAATCTTTCTAAAAGGCAAGGAGGGGTGATATAAATTTACCTGGAAGAATATATAAATACCACACCCAAGGTTTCCTTAAAGTCACCAATTCAAATAATTCTCTCCCAGAGACCTTGTGAGTCTACACACACTGTCTCCATAATCATCCGCCTTTACTTTTTGCTTGAGAAAATATGCTCACCTCTCTTGCTGTGTGTATGGTTTAAACTTGATCTATGAAAGTAAAGTGACTGGTTTTATGTTAGTAAGTAAATAATACCTGTTGAAAAATTAAATTCTATGTTACATTCTTGGCATTTTTGTTCATTTTTTAAACTACTCTTTTAAGTTCATTCTCTGTTACTGGTAAGTAAATCACATAATTTTGAAACTGTGAAAAAAAAAAACAAAAACTCCTAACGGGGAAATATATTCAGTAGCTGATTTACTGTGAGTGATTGGAAAAATCAAAGCAAAATGGTTTCCACAAGGTCTCCAGGTAAGTTACCACAATTTTTAGGTTTTCACACACACACAAAAAAGATTATGGAAATTTTAAATGGAAAATATACAACTGTTTAACCTGCTGGTGGCCCTGCATATTAAAGAAGACAAACGGAGAACCAAATAAATCATGCCAGGAATACAGAGCAATATAGTCCTGTCTGTTACAATTAGAGAAAAATAACTTGTCTCGATATTGTTTTATGCCAATTAAACTGTCAAAATCATTGCCTTGAGATATATATGTATAAATAGGAATTAATATATGTAGATAAACAATGTATCTTTTATTATTTATTTTATAGGTGTAATCATTTACTAGAAAAATATTTCAACAGTTAAATGATGGTAAACAAGGGATCAGGAAACTTTCTTCTATAAATATTCTAAGATATTTATTATCCTAGAAGGTTGTGTGGAATTCACAGCAACTACACAACTCTGCCTTTGCAGTGCAAAGACCCCATAGACACAAGTAAACAAATGGGTGTGGTGATGTTCCAGTAAAACATTATTTATAAAAACAGCCTGCAGGCGAGATTTGACCTGATGGCCATATTTGCCAACCCCTGCTCTAAAATATGATGTGTGTAAGTATGATAGTGCATGTGCACCTAGGTGCATGTAGTAGTATGTGTCCCTGTACCTTTCTCTCAAATCAGAACTGCTCAATACGAATTTGGTTCCCTTTGGCAGTTTTGCTCAGATAGTGCCAAAGGTGAGTATTTGCTTCAATGGACATATTACACATCATGTAATAGTGATATATCCCTAAATATAAATGGTGATAGTGATATCCTGTCATTATTACATGATGTATAGTATACAATTAAATATATCATGTAATATGTATGACATATTCCTAAATATAAATCATATAATAATGATGATGATGAGCAAGATCACTGCAATTGTGAGCCAGAAAACTTATCTTAAATAGATGATTCCCATGGCAGTCTTCCAAAATGAAAAGTATTTTCCTCACCTCCCTTGTCTCCAAATACTAGCCCTGAAAATCTGGTTTATTCTATTTCCCTATTTCAAAATGTTTCCTGGAATGTGAACATGATATGCAGACCAGGGAAGCTTGGTTAAGCAGATTATAATTTAGCTATTATTGTATTTAATAAGAAAGTGTTCAAGTTATACTCTCAAGATTATTTCTAAGATGAATTATTTTTAATAATTTTTCTTTTAATTACATATTTATATTAAACAAAAAGAGCTTGTGCTTTCTCAATTTTATACATCCAGTAAATCCTTTGCTAGTTTTCTTTCTCAGTTTATATATAACTAAAATGTTTCTCTCATAAAATTAAGGCTGAAAAGTATCACCATATATTTTCATTGGATTGGATTTTTACTGCGGATTTTAAAGCAAATAAACACCTGATTCAAAAACAGGAATAGGAGGCAGCGTCAGCTTCATGGTGCATTCAGCAGGCCCCCATGTTTGGTTTAATGCTCTGCTGCTGCCATCTCAAAATTCTTAATTTTGAACAAGGGCCTCATATTTCATTTTGCACTGGGCCCCAAAAATTACATAGCTGATCCTGCAGGGCAAGATTAGAACTCAGCAAAGGCAGAAAAGCTGTCTGAATGAAGCAGTTTATGCAAGTTTGGATCCTGAAATCTCAATAAAAGATTGATTTGCTGGACTTCAAATGTAGTTCCCCACTGATGTCAACTCTTCAGAAGGCAGAGAAAACAAGAAGGGTGTCATAGAGGATAAATTAAAAATTATCTTGCATTTCTGAAAAAATAGATAATAATAGTAATTACATTCCTTTTGTTTCTCCTAAAAATGTCAGAAACAGCCAGGCTGATTATGGAAGACTGACTTTTCCTCCTCCATCCCAATGATTTTCATAATAAAGTGAATGGAGGACAAGTAGATGCCATGATTAATGTCAATCCTGATATGAAAAAGAAGAAAGAAGGCTGTCCTTTTATTCAACAAGGCATTGGAATAAGTATAAAGATGTAAGTAGGTAACACACACATAATATTTTTTATCCTCATGGCTTAGTATTTTTTAATGGGCTAAATTTCTAATCCTGGGCTCTTAGCATGGATTATCTCAACTCTAATGAACTAACTGAAGCAGGAATCCTAAAATAAGGGACATAGTGCCTGTCCTGAAGCATTTAGGATTGAGGATGAGCCAAATAGAAAACTTCAGCAGCTAGGAGATGGACCGAAAATAATAACCACCACTACCAGTCTTTTGAAACTTGCAACCCATGCTCCTCAGCCCTTCTCTTGTTCTATTTTCTCCCATAACATTTTTTCCTTTTCATCTGCTTTATAATGTAAGCTCCAAAAAGGCAGAAATGTTTGTTCACTATGTGTCCTGAGCTTCTAGAACAATGCTTGGCACCTAGTTGGTGCTCAATAAAATATCAGTTAAATGATAACTGAACCATTGGGTGGATTTTCAACTATAGTTGGCCTCACACCTGAAAACTGTTGCTGCTGGGAAAAAGCAGATAAAAATCAAAAGCTTAGAGAGAAAAATAGGCTGCAGCAGAGAGAGTAGTGACTGATAATTATTATTAAAAAAAAAAACAGAAAATTTGAATGACGTTTGAAAATGAGGAGGATGACAGGAATCACAAGAGTCCTCTCTGATATTCACTATTTATGCTCCCAAACTCTTTAGAAAATGTTGAAATCTAAAACATATAGACCTACAAAGCCCGCTTTCTATTTACAGTTTTCTGGTACAGACAATGCATGGGTTAAAGTAAAACTGTCTTCTAACAGCCAAATACCTCTATGTTAACAGGTTAGCTAATGGGGCTTAATCCTTGCTGGATGCTTTAGGCTTATTGTGACTTTGTCGGCTTATTTATGACTGTTCCTCACATCAGGGGCCCAATTACCTCTTTGGTGCTCCCTTGTCATCCATCCTTCCCAGGGCTGGGAGCTCTTAATAGTTCTCAGACTGGGCAATTCTGTTTTCCTCCAACCCCCTCCTTCCCACTGTCTGCCCTGAATGTAGTCATGGAATATACTTGTTCCATTATTCCTCCTGCTCTGAACCTTCTATGCTGAAGAATCTTTCATATTCACATCCTGCCGGGACCGTTTAGTCTTGCTTTGGTTGTTAATTTGTTTTAAACAGAATAGAACTGATCAGGAAGCACTGGGATTCCAGAGCCCCTGTCATCCTCTCTAAGCCCAGTGCCTTTAAATGTTAAGGATGGGTCAAATCTCCTCTGCCCATGTCTCAAAGGTCACCCTCCCACACAAAGTTGGGATGAGATAATGTGGATCAGAGTGCCTTGTACCTACAAAGTGCTAGATGGCAGGGACTCAGTGCTTCTAGGAAGGACTGGGGAGCCCAGAAATTGGATTTGCTTTCACTAAGGACTATTTCATGACAAATACCAACCAACTCTACCTTATTTAAGAAAAAAAAAAAAAAAAAAAAAAAAAAAAAAAGTGCAAATGTGTTACATTCATGATGGGGAACTAAGAGCCAAAATGCTCTTGAGAAAGAACCAGGAAAGGGATCACACTGGGGACCTGCTTTCTCTTACCTGTATCCTTTTTTCTCTCTAAAGACACACTTCCTCTTCCCCAGTATACTACATGAAACATGGCCATACCCATTTCCAAATTTACATGTGATAGCTTCATCCACCCACTGCTCTAGGTTTCAATACCACCACCCCCACTGGGTGGCTAGGTGTGAGTTAGGTGTCTACCTCTGAACTTAGTAGTTTGGTGCAAAAGAAACTGTGTTTTCTGCCATTGAAAGTAATGGCAGCAACCACAACTTCTGCATCAACCTAATACTATGACCAGAAGCCAAGGAACATGGCTGCTGATAACCCACTTCATGTGTGACATCCAGCCTATCACAGGCTCTGGGGAAGTCTCTGAGGAGAAAAAAAAAAAAAAAAAAAAAAAAAAAAATATATATATATATATATATATATATATATATATATATATATATATGAAAAAATTTCAACCCAAGGGAAGAGAAAGCTGAGGCACATAGTGTGGTTGAAGGTTGAGTCAATATCTGATTGAGGATTGATTTTGAGTATATCACAGTCTGTCATGTAGATTGTCCTAAACCCAATCCTCAGGAATTCATATTGAGTCTTAGAGAAAAGTGGTTGAAATGAAGTCTGAAAAGTATACTTGTATTATGTGCCTAATTAGCTACTGTAACAAATCACCACAAACTCAGTGTCTTAAAACAACAAAAAAAATTCTTTCTCAGTTCTGGAATTTAAAGGTCTGAAATCAAGGAGGCGGCAGGGTCACACTTCCTCCAAAGGGTCTAAGAATCCTTCCTGGACACTTCCAACTTTTGATGCCTCCAGGCCTTTCTTGGCTTGTGGTCACATAACCCCAATTTCTGTCTCTATTGTCACATGGCCTTCCCCTCTTTTGTCTTTTGTCTGTGTCTCTTCCTCTTCTGTCTCTTACAAGGACACCTACCTGTCATTGAACTTAGTATCCACTTAAATAATTCAGGATAATCTCATCTAGAGATCCTTAATTACACTGAGTAATTAATAATTACTTCATTATTAGTTACATTAATTATTAATACATTGACAAAGACTCTTTTCAAGAACAAGGTCCCATTCACAGGTTTCAGGAGTCAGGATATGAACAAACATTCCGGCAAGCCACCACTCAACGCACTGCAGCATCTGTTTCACTAAAGAGCAAGATTCCAAAGCTTAGAATATATGCACCCATGAGAGGGAGAAGAGGACATTTTTTGCTCGGGGCTTGTACCTAGAGCATGTGCAACATTAGGAGTCTCCTAACATCAGAAGATGACAAGGCTATTAGGCCTCAGAGAGCTTCACTGGCTTCAGGAGCAGCATGAGCAGTCAGGGCAACAGCAGGACTGCTGGTCACAAGGACACATGTGCAGAAGAAGGATTCCCTGATGAACCCCAAAATCACTGAGGACAAAATTGACAGGCCAAGTGCGTCCAAAGAAACACAGTTTTATGACGATTATTGTTGCTCCATTATTAACTTCCACAGGCAAGTGTGTTCTGAGGCACCCTAGTTTCGATTATAAGTACATACATATGCATTTAAAGCTTTCAGTTGCATTTTCTTCTAAATAGCTTAACATCACAAAATCACTATTGTTTTTGGAAAGATGAAAAAGTTTTCTTCTAATGGAAGCAATATATTAGTCCCCTAAAACCTCAGTGTATATTAGTTTCATTGGATGATTTTTTTTTTCCCTGAATAGCAGTAAAAACAAAATCAATAGGCACGAGAGGAGCAGGCTTCAATGCAACCATCATCTGTTGCTAGCACCCTGCTCTTTAAAATCCTTGTCCAGGCCAGGCGCAGTGGCTCACACCTATAATCCCAGCACTTTGGGAGGCTAAAGCGGGCAGATCAACTGAAGTCAGGAGTTCAAGACCAGCCTTGCCAACATGGGTGAAGCCCCATCTCTACTATAAAATACAAAAAAAAAAAAAAAATTAGCCAAGTGTGGTGGTTCATGCCTGTAGTCCCAGCTGAGTGTACTCAGGAGGCTGGGACATGAGAATCACTTGAACCTGGGAGGCGCAGGCTGCAGTGAGCTGAGATCATGCCACTACTCCAGCCTGGGCCACAGAGTAAGACTCAGTCTCAAAAAAAAAAAAAAAGAAAGAAAGAAAGAAAAACCATCCCTGCCCAAACAACCGGAAAAATACAAAAGAACCAAATCCATTAACTTTGATCTATAGTATCCCCAGCCTACAATACAGCCTAAGAATAATTGTGTCTGAGGGAAACATGAACCAACAAGAATAACTAAAAGTACAGGAATGGGACGGCTGGATGATACATCTTGCCTCTTTCCCATTTTGGCCTAGCATCAAATGTACATGATTAAACTCATCAAGATATAAAACATAACCAATAATATTTCTCAGGTATGATGAATACAAGCAATGAAGAAAAATTATGTCATCCTCCTCATGGAGAAAAAACACTTCTTAACAGAAGACTGAAAATGTGACTTTTTAGTTTAACATTTTATTTTGCATTATCTTCACCAAAATATTCTAAGTTTTTTTAGTGTTTTTATGTAAACCCACTAAGTATATTCAAACACCTGTCCATACACCTCAGGATGAAAACAATCAAAACTCTTCTCACCTTTTCATCTTTGTCAAGGGTGACCACACTGCAGTAAGACTGGAGTGGGTTTTGCTGATGGAGAAAGTCTCCTTATTTTTACCATGACACCATTTCTAATAGGAATATAGTAATTAAAAAAAACACATTTCTCTCAGACCTTATTATTTTTAAAGTATGTTCTCTCATTCGCCTAATCACGTTTGACATGAGAAGGCATTTTTCAACATTCTGTCTTGTTGGAATGCCTGGGCTTATGACTTTAGGAGGCCATGGTTCATTGTCTGGGATCACAGTTTGTAATCCCAGTGGAGAAGTTTGAACCAGTCTACTTGCCTTACCTCATCATGCAGAGGACCAGAAAGGGAACTATGTAGCTGAGGGATGCAGACGGAGAGTGGCTGGGATTTGGAGTTGCAGGTGAGGAGACATCAGGGAGGCACCATGAGACATGGCAGGAAGTCCAATTGCGCAGACAGGTCCCTAGAACGAATGGTCTAGAGAGCCAACATTAGGGAGATTCCATCAAACACTGGCTATCTAGGAGTCCAGATGCAGGTTGTCACTTAACACTGAATTTGACAAATTTTAATCACTCACATGCCTTCTTTAGAGTTTTGACCAGAACTATGTAACTGCTGTCCCAGATAATGTTCTGTGATCTCTTGGCCCAAGATGACATAGCCACATAGTCAAAGGCAGCAATGCTGAGATCCCTGAGTAAACACTTAAAGGACAGCCAGCTGCCTCAGAGGACCATCTAACCCATTCCCAACTGTGAGCTGAGCAAAATATTATTTTTTATTTGTAGGATTGACTATGTGTTTCTCTTACAGTAGTTAGCATACAAGGATACTTATCCACATACAAGTATACTTCCATAGAAAGGGAAAGAGCACTATGCTCCTTACAAAAGCCTTATCGTAGGAACGACTGAAGAACACACAGACAAGATAAAGGTGGCAGTGGCATCTGCTGATCTGTGAACCATCTACTCCTTGTGTGACTTACAGACAACCACCGGCACCCCCCAGATCAGCTTCCTCTTCTGTTGCTGATGAATATTCAAGCGAGTGATGAGTGACAAAGTAGCTCCTCTTTAGACCCTCTAAAAAAAAAAGGACAGACCCCTGATTTAGGGACTTCATAGAAACCAATATGACTAAAAGAAGGATAAATCTTAGCAAACCTATTTGGTCTCCTTATATGACAGCATGACAGCCTCCATAAACCATATGTGTAGTCTGGTTTTACATCTCATATTGGCCTGAAGCTTGTACTCAGAGAGGAAATATTAAGGCAAGGAGACCTGCATTGTTCTCCCACATATGCATGAACCACATCGTGGTTCTCCACTGATAGCAATTTTGCCTCACCAGGGAAGATTTGACTTTATTAAGTAAATAATAGTACAGGGGTATGTACACATAGCAAAAAGTTTAGTACGGGGTATGCACATATAGCAAAAAGTACAGGGGTATGTACATACAGGGGTGCCTACATTTAGTATGGGGTATGTACATTTAGTACAGGGGTATGCACACATGGCAAAAAGTACAGGGGTATGTACATACAGGGGTGCCTACATTTAGTATGGGGTATGTACATTTAGTACAGGGGTATGCACACTGGCAAAAAGTACAGGGGTATGTACATATAGCAAAAAGTTTTGAAGGTGTTGTGTATGAATAACTGGAATATGGAAACATTGTTGTCTCTATCTTCAAAAGAGAGATCAAGAATTTCTCATCAAATTTGCAGATAATTAATTTGTATAGATAGAACTCTGGAACAACAGAAACTTTTTTTTTTTAAACAGGGTCTCTCTCTGTCACCCAGGCTGGAGTGCAGTAGTACTATCTTGGCCCACTGCAACCTGCACCTGCCAGGCTCAAGTGATCCTCCCATCTCAGCCTCCCAAGTAGCTGGGACTACAGGCATGGGCTGCCATGCCTGGCTAATTTTTGTATGTATGTATGTATTTATTTATTTATTTATTTATTTTGTAAAGATGGGGTTTTGCCATGTCTCACCATGACCAGTAGGCTGGTCTCAAACTCCTGGGCTCAAGCGATCCACCTGCCTCAGCCTCCCAAAGTCCTAGGGTTACAAGAATGAGCCATCATGTCTGGCCAGAAAATATTTCAAATGGCAATAACAATTGATACATTTTAGTAAGGGTACATGTAAAGTAATACCTAAGAACAAACACCCTCAATGCAAATAGAGGAGAAATAAAGGCTGAGGAAGTACAGGTCATGGTGGAGTCATGGTGGAGTCATGGTGGAGTTACATACCAGCAAGAGTGAGAGAGAGTGGGTGGAAAAAAGCCCCTTTACGTGAATAGCCAGGAAGCTAATTGTAGACCCTTTCCCTTCAGCCTTGTAAGAAGAAATGTTAATGCCCATGGCATGGGTTCAAGGCCTCGACACAGGGACTTTGGGTCACTGAAGATCATTGAGAAAGAAGAACTGACAATCCGTAAGTGGCTCTGAGCACAATTTTTTTTTTTTTAACCTTTTTTTCAAGGCAGGCCAGGGGAAGAGAGAAGGCAGCTAGTGACATATAGTTGAGGACATCATTCAGGACACTGGTAGAGGCAGCATGTTGATGAAGAGGATTAAAGACGGTGGAAAGTGTCCACAAAGAAGTCTCAACAGTTGTCACCATTTCACCAAGTGTGCTGAACCAGCAATGTGACTAAGGTTCACAGGATGGGACATGAGTACCTACCAGGAGTGCTAACACTCTCATCCTAAGAGTAATGCTGGTGGCTGAGCAAAGACACAAATCCAAAAATTACCTTAGTGGCCAGGTGTGGTGGCTCAAGCTTGTAACCCCAGCACTTTGGGAAGCCGAGGCAGGAGGATTGCTTGAGCCCAGGAGTTTGAGAGCAACCTAGGCAACATAGCAAGACTCCAACTCTACAAAAAATAAAAATAAAAATTACCCAGGCATGGTGGTACTTACCTATGGTCTCAATTACTCAGAAGGCCTAGGTGGGAGGATCGCTTGAGCCTGGGAGTTCAAGGCTACAGTGAGCTGTGATCGCACCACTGCACCTCAGCCTGGGCAACAGATTGAGACTCTATCTAAAACAAAACAAAACAAAAATTACCCCAGGGATAGGATTTGATGGACATGGTAATGGCGGTGGTGGAGAGAGGGACATGACTAAGAGTACAGCACTTTCCTTGATTGAGTACACAAAGAGGTAAGACTGCAAAATGACTGTATTGCTCACTCATGAGGAGCCTAATGGTCCCATTCACATTAAACTGTTGACAGTTACCAAGTTATTGAGATACAGTCATCCTCACAATTTTAGATATTTGAAGAAGGAAAAAGTAGGCCTTCCTTTAGAACACCACCACAATATTTTCCCCATATAATTTGTGTACTTCATTATGAAGTATTAATGGAATTTTTCAGTCAATTAAATGCTGTATGCCAACGCCATCAAAAGGTAATTAGTGGTAAATTAAAAGTGGCCATAAAATGGAAATTGGTGGGAGAATACTCTATTTCCAACTAACTAGTAATAGCTACCATTTGTTGAGTTCTTACTATGGACCAGGCAGTGTGCCACCAATTTAGAATCACCATCTTATAGCATTCAGTCCTCGCAGGAGCCACATTAAGGTATATAGTAGGTTTCTGCAGCTTATACATGAAGGAGTTGAGGCACAGAGAAATCTGAGCAACCTGTCCCAAATCAGTTAGCTAATAAGCAACAGAGCAGGTCTAGTCCAGTTTCCACTGACTCGAAAGACAGGCACTAAACCACTGCACACCACTGCCTCCTCATACTCCTGTGACAATGGTATTAGGCAAGGGGAGAGGTTGCTGCTTTTGCCTTTCTCCTCAGGACTCCATTGTCTTGGATGAGCTGTAGAGTGTTCCTAGAAAAGGCATATGCTGATAGGAAAAAAGTCCTGCCTTCAACAGACGAACCTTCTATTAACTTCCACAGCAGTAGAGCATGGAAGTTTTAAGTAGGGTCTACCAGGTCTATAACCTTGAGAAAAGTAACTTTCAGGACCTCTACTTCTGTATCTCTAAAACAGGAGGATGAGAAAAGTACTTACCTCACAGGTTGCTAGGATCATTAAAAGATTCAATGCATATAATAGCTTACCACAGTATGTGGCACACAGGAATCACTCAATATGTTTAGTCATTATTATTTTCATTATCATCACACCATGCTTATTGCTACTCAAGGATTTAGATTTGATTTCGCTGACTTGGAATTCCTGCAACTCCAATCTGAAGTTGATGACTCTTTTGAAGTTATTCTTCACTCAATACCATTCCCTTCTTTTTTAGTTAGAAGAAAGTTGAATACATGATTCTGGGCCCTTGTGTCTCAGAACACCCCTTCTCAAATATATCCTTATTCTTTTTTTTTTTTTTTTTTTACCATTTTTTGGGACTTTTCCTTGCCTCCATACTCAGGTCATGCTCCCTAAATCGTCTATACATTGCAATGGGCATTAAGAGCACCATGTATTATAATCCTCTTAACCCCATTACAAATGTTAAGTTAACTTCCACCATACTCATCTCACCTTCAGCACCCCACACCCACTTCCTGCCCCGCCTGCCATCACTCTCTATTGCATTTGCTTCCTTGTGTAAGTCAAGTTCACCCACTAAACTGGGGCACGACTGTATGTTACTCATCTTTGCTCTTGCCCCATTACTCTGTCTCCTCACCCCCAAAAGTTACTTAGTAGGCAACATTTAATAAAAGATTTTTTAAAAATCAGTATGTGGCCTGTATCGGAATCTCCAGCACCAGATTTGTTTGAAGGACTCACAGGACTCAGCATAGAGACATCAGCAAAAGGATACAAAGCAAAATCATCAAAGGAAAAAGATACAAAGAGAAATTAGATACAGGCTTCCAAGAGTCCTCTCCCAGTAGAGTCAAATAAGATGCCCTTAATTCTACTCTAGCAAGTAATTGTGCCAACAATATGAGTTAAGTGTTGCTTATCAGGGAAGCGCAATAGAGACTAAGCACCCCATGACTGGGGACTGGTCATGTAAGCATCCTCTGCCTAGCATATACTAAAATTCCAGACCCTTAGAAAAACAGTAAGTATTCAGCATGAACCGTATGTTTGCACAAACCAGGTAAGCCAGCTTTATCATTTAATGAAAGTTTTATATCAATGCTGGAGACTGTTTACCAGTCAGGCTCCCAGATGCCAGTCAAATGCCAATCTTACTGACAGGCCTTTCTATGAATAGCAATCTCAGGCCTGGCTATATTAACCCCTTTCTTCACAGGTACTGGGAAACATGAAATCTAGAATGTTAGATCTTCCAGCTTCTTGGAGTTGTCCTTTTTGGCAGTTGTCTATAACAATGTGAGGAATTCATAAGTAACTTAATACTAATAATCATTAAAGTACAAAAATTTGCTTATATAAATTGGTGAGAACTCAAGGCCATTCCTAAAATAATGGTAGTTTGCTTAATTTCCATTAAGATTTCTTTTATGGGAAAGAAAAGGGTTTAGGCACAATCAGTGCTCTGAGATTTGCACATGGAAGGTTCATCACACTTCTAATTTGCTGCAGAAAAGAAATTGAGAAAGTTTGATCTAATCAAGCTTCGCAATTAAAATATTTGGAAATTGAGGCCCAAGAAATGCATTCCTCATTCTTAAGAGGCAGCCAGCTCCTAAAGGGTAAGCAGGTAGCCTCAAGGATGCTGTCTGTGGGCCTTGAGGTAGCCTCTGGTCTCTGTGTCTTCCCTTACTTGTATTCCAGAGAATAGCTCATCTGCTTGTCTTCTTCTTTCAGTCGTTTGACAATGGCTTTCAAGAATCTTTTCAAGTGACATGATAAGATGCCACTGCATGCAGTGACATGAGTGGAAGGAAACTGTGACTTCACTTCTACCATCCATGTGAAGCCCATACCGTTCAAATGAAGATGTCTCTAATGACATCATCTCTTCTCCATATCTGTGTCACATAGCAACTACCTTTCATTTAAATATTCTTTGTAATAAGTTTACCACTGTGAAATCCAATATATCTAAGTATTTTCTCAACCCTTTAGTAGCCCAGAGGCCTTTTTAGAATCCTGTATCCTACCTTTCAAAGAAGCAACACATTTTTCTCAGAAGTCACCTGGAACCTGTGATTCCTTGATTTATTCTCTTCCACCAAACAAAATCATGCACAGCATCTGATTTCTTTATGCCTCACAACTCTGACTCCTAGGTTCCCAGGTATGATAAGATCATATTGTAGAGAGTTGTGTTTGTTATACTGTGAGACTGATGCATTAATGTTTTGATGGAAAGGACTTCCCTGATGTTTAGGTCAACACACAACACAGAAGGCCAAGGAAAATGGCACCTTTCCCCACAAATTAGAAGGAAAAAAATGGTTAACTCAAGTCTTCAATGAATGAGAAAGGAGATGTAAAGCCTAGAGAAAGGATGGTAAGAAGGAAAACAAGTGGAGATAGAAAAAGAGAAAACAGACTCACCTGGAATTTAGCCAAGGGGATCTTGGATGGCAAGACAAGCTGAATGGTCAGGGACCAATTATAAGAACCTCACCAACTGCTGTCCTTAGTAAAACTGCTGTCACTCTTTCGTGGTCCCACAGCACTTTGTCTCTACAACTATCTCCACGTACTCACTACAAAAACAATGTATTACAAACCTGTCTCCCTAGGACACTCACATGAAGCAGAGGCTTCATCCATGTGACTTTGGGTTACCACAGACCCTACAAAGAAGAAAGAATACACAAGTCTCCCAGTAAACTCCTCTTAAAATGACTGATGGAATAAATAAACAAATATGTAAACAAATGAAAGAATATGAATAAATGGAGAAAGTGAATGCTGCTTAAAAAAACAAATGGTGGCCGGGCGTGGTGTCTCATGCCTGTAATCCCAGCACTTTGGGAGGCTGAGGCAGGAGGATTACCTGAGGTCAGGAGCTTGAGACCAGCCTGACCAACATGGAGAAACCCCATCTCTACTAAAAATACAAAAAATTAGCTGGGCATGGTGGCGCATGCCTGTAATCCCAGCTACTTGGGAGGCCAAGGCAGGAGAATCGCTTGAACCAGGGAGGCGGAGGTTGTAGTGAGCCGAGATAGCGCCACTGCACTCCAGCCTGGGCAACAAGAGCGAAACTCCATCTCAAAAACAAAAACAAAAACAAAAACAAAAACAAAAAAGAGGCCTGAATGAAGTCGTCAGTGTAACCCAATTCTCTATTCTGAAGGACACAGTAACTGCAAAAACTGTTGTCAGAACCATTGCTAACGAACTGTAGCTTTCTCTGACCTTTACTAAATCCCTTCTTTGCTTCAGTCTCCAGTGTTCCTTTCATTTAGTTCTATTAGAAATGTTTCCACTTGGGTCTTTTTGAACTTTCATTCTGAATCTATGCAGTACTGTTTGTGTGTGTGTGTGTGTGTGTGTGTGCAAGAATACATGTGTGTAGGCGTGAATGTATGCACATGTGTTTTAAAGTCTTATTTCATTTCTGGATTACTAGTGCTAGTCATGCTAATCATAAAAACACAGTTATTTTTAAGCTCAAACCCCAAAAGAAAGCATGTCCTGAAGTTAAAAATGCATTCCAACCACCATCCACAGGTCCGCCCTAAACAACCGCGCATCTTCGTACAGATGGCTTTAACTCATGAGACAAACTTCCACTTTCTGCCCCTTCTCTGACTGAAAGTATATTTAATATTATTTCTCTCTGAGATTCAATTACAAATGAATTATTTTTAATTTCAACTACTGACAAAATAAGTAAAGCAGCTGGGCTTGCAATAAATCACCCTGTAAATGTGTAGAAACTGTTTAGAACAAACAAGTAGACAAGCACAGCTGCCATCATCATTGGGACATTCCATTCTACACCAACAAGGCTGATCTGAGCCATCACCTCATAATGAACAGCACTTCTCAGTTCACTGGACCCTGAAAAATATACTTACACAGGCAAAAACGATCCCAAATGAGAAGGGAACTGCTGTCCTGGAAAAGAAAAAAAAATTAGGCAAATGTTTGAAGTTTCTGTGCCTTACTTTGCCCATACTGCCATCTTTACTTAAAATAACAGACATAAGAAAATACAAACTTCTTTGGTTTTTACCAGTCTTTAGCATGGTGGTGGCAAAAAATCTGAGAAAACAGAATGACCTAAGACGGGTTCACTGGAGATTTTTTCTACAACCAGCACCACAAGGATGTTCTCAGCTTTAGGCAGATCTGATCTTGCTCTACACTCTTCTCCCGTCAGTGAAGTTCACCATAGTGGATCATTGTCACCACTTTATGGTGGATGGCTCCATCTAAGTCATACAAAAACTTCTACTGGACACTGATGGGAGACAAAGCCCACACGCAAAGGGAGACAATGGAGAGATGTGACTGCCGAGTCACATTTGTCTTCTATCTCAATCAACTTCAATGCTACTGTCAAATTGGTATTTTCTAACTTGTATTTCTATTGGTATGGTTAAGGTAATTTTTATTCCTTTAGCCAAAAGAGGATAAAGTAACTAGTTTAAACATATAGGATGGTTGGGCTTCAGGACAAGCTACCCCAAAATATGGCCCCTTGGCATTTGAGAAAGTAGCAGAAGCTAGAAGGTCACTCTCAGCTTCCCCTTACCCCATCTCTCCTAAAACAGGCCGTGAAACCCAGTAATAGTTACTGTCCAAAAGCCAAGTTCTCCAACACTGTTAACTGTATTTCCTACCCAGAAAACCTTGTTTGTTGTAATCTAACCTAGAATCACTGCTCTTATGGTTCCCTATTTCTTGGGCTGATCTGATTTATTTTTCCCTATTGCACTTTCCAGTCCTAATCACTCCATTCAATCCTGCTATCCACAGTAGCTACAGAAAAACTCTCATATGACTTCTATTTCTATTTCAGCTTGCATGAGTTCCTTTAAATATGTAAATTTCTTAAGAGCTGTGTTCAACTTCCTGCATGTTCAGTAATGAGGGAGGTCTGACATTTAGAGTCAGCAGACATCATCTTGACAGCCTAAGGAAATTAAGACATCAAACAATACAGTCACAATTTTAACTGCATCAAGGAAATGCAAAGGATATATGTAACTGAATAACACATGCATTTGTGGTCTGCTTTTAAGTGTATAAAGATAGGACATCTGAATCCTAGCAGAGAGATGTTGGTGATCTAGATGTGTGCGCTCTATTTTTATCCTAGAAAAAGTCTCTGAGCCTCAATTTCCCTTATGGTACATAGCTTGAGGACAAGAAGTCTGGATACCAAACATTCAGTATTCCTTCCATGTATTGCTTATACATTAAAAAAAATAAATAGGAGTTATCCAGGATTTCTACAGTGCAGTCTCAAAACCTGCTGATGATTAGTGGAAAGTTACAGCAAGACCAAAAAACTATCACTTGCCATTCTTTATTCTGGGCATCTTGACTTGTATGCAGGGAGAAGGCCTTGAAGCCTTTAAAGTCATAATAAGCAAGAGTACAGATCCCACATGTGTTACATTTTATTTAATTACAGCATTTCCAAAGATCATGCAGGAAATTGAACACACTATTGGAGACATGCTTTATTTTTTAATGTTTAGAACAAGCCTGTAGGAAATCTCAAAATTATATAATATCTGACATATAATATAATAATATAATACAACGACATTTCATTTTGTAGAAGTTCATGCTTAGAAATAGGGATTGCAGGACTTATCAGGCCTTTAAAATAAACGTAGAACAAAAAGAAAATATATATACACACATACATTTACACACAAATGTATTCACACATGTGTAAATATATATTCATCCTATGCATAGGGTTCCACATGGACTTCAACATCAACTTATAAGTAACTTTCAGCAATGAACTAAACTTTCCACTTTCAAAAGCATGTTAAGAATCAGAAGAAGATGGAGAAGATTCTCTGACTTTTTTTTCAAGTGAAATGTTCTTAAAACACTAATAGATTTGATTTTGTGAGAGAAAAAAAGTCCAATAATTTTGGATGTTGACTTTAAAAATTATAGTAGTCTAAATCAATACTTAAGGGCTGAGTAAAATAGACAATGGTGAGCTTTCATAAAAACTATATGAAAGAAAAATTACATGGTGCTTACATCTGTGCCATGTACTATTTTCTTTCATTTTGTTCAAGTCATTTGAATTTAGGGGGAAATTCAATCTACATTTTGTAATTCATTTCCACACAAATCATGAGCACACACTGTGTTGAGTGTCTGATGTATTTTCAGAACTTTTTAATAAGTTTTTATGCTTCTTCCCTTAACCACAAGAAGTGGCACCTGGCCAAGAGGAGGAGAACTTAAATATCATATCTGTAACTACTGCTCACCTACTCAGGGGGTGAAAAGTTTGTGGGCTACTGGAGAAGGAAAGTTTGGAGGAATAATAATGAAGCTATGGGTACACTTTGAAGTTTGAGCTCATGGGACTAATGGTGTTGAAAATCTAAGAGCATAAATAAAAGTATTCCAGTAGGTTTCTGTATAGTAGTGTATACCAAGGTGACCAAAGTATATAAAAGGAAATAGTTTACCCATGAGAAGTGACTTATCTCAGCTTTGTGAATTATTTCTTCCACTTGAAATTAATGATGCCTTTGTTCTTGGTCAGTTTTCATTTCACTCTTTTAAGTGAGACTTTTATTCCTGGAAGAAACGTGCTCACCCACCCTCAGAAAAGGTCTACCCAAGTTAATTTATCAAGGCACCTTAAAAGTGAGAGAGCCCTCCCCTCCACAATACAGGAAGTTTAGCAAGAAAAAATGATGGTCTAGGATCCTCGCAGGAGCCTCACTGACCCACAGTAATCAAATAATCAGAACTAAACTAACCACTCTTCTCTTTTCTGCATTCCAGATTGCAAAGCGACCTATTTTTTTAGAAGTGGGGAAGGTAAGAAGCAACAATCTTTAATCTCTGATGTTTACACAGGTTGGACTGAATTATTGGCAATGAGTCTGTCCCTCAATTTTTGGCATTAAAATATCCTACATTAACCAGTTTCACTACAGCTGAGGGTGAGGGAGGAGGAGAGGAAAGAGGGCTTTATGATCGATGATAGAGAATAAGATAATAATGAAATAGAGGCACCAAAATAAGATCATACCAATTTTAATCATTGCAATTTGGTATTTAAATTAAATTTTCAAATAGAACCAATATACGATTGCCCCTTGATATCTGCAAAGGATATGTTCCAGGACTCCCATGGATACCAAAATCCACTATACTCAAATCCCTTATATAAAATGACATTCTACCTGCATATAACCTACACACATCCTCTTGTATATGTTAAATCATCTTTAGATTACTTATAATACCTAACATTGCTACAAATACTATGGAAATAGTTGTTATACTGTATTTTTTATTTCTATTACTTTTATTGTTTTATTGCCATTTTTTTTACACTAGTTTTGATCTGCGGTTGTTTGAATTTGCAGATGTGAAACCCACAAATGTGGAGGGACTACTGTATTCTGAAAATAGCCTAATTTGACTAATTGCAAGCAAAGCACTGCCCTAGATGTTGAAACTAGATCCAAAGGCCCCTTTAAATACTTTGGAAGTACAAGAAAGGACTTCTTTGACTTAGTCAGTAAGAAGGCAGAAAGAGGGAATGCAACCTGGAGGTTGGTGACTGTGCCATGAAGGAGAAACACAGGGGTGCACAGGCACTCCTCACTGGGTGGTATCATCCTGTCTAGGAAATTGGGAGGTTGGGGACTTTACTTCAAGCTCAATGGTAGAGAATGAGACAGAGCTGGGGTACAGGCATACCCCAAAGATATTGCAGATTTGGTTTCAGACCATCACAGTAAAGTGAGTTTAGCAATCAAACAAGTCACACCAATTTTTTTGGTTTCCCTGTGCATATAAAAATAATGTTAGCACTATCCTGCAATCTAGTGAATATGCAATAGCATTATGTCAAGAACACAGTGTACATACTTTAACTTAAAAATGCTTTATTGCTAAAAGATGCTAACAATCATTTGAGCCTGAAGTGAGTTGTAGTCTTTTTGCTGGTGGAGGGCCTTACCTCAACGGCGATGACTGCTGACTGATCACGGTGGTAGTTGCTAAAAGTTGGGGTGGCTGTGGCAATTCACTAAAATAGGGCAACAGTAAAGTTTGCCACATCAATGAATTCTTCCTTTCACAAACGATTTCTCTGTAGCATGTGATAGTGTTTGATAGCATTTGATAGCATTTTACCTACGGTAGAATTTCTTCCAAAATTGAAGTCGGTCCTCTCAAAACTTGCTGCTGCTTTATCAACTAAGTTTATTAAATGTTCTAAATCCTTTGTTGTCATTTCAACAATGTTCATAGCACCTTTACCAGGAGTAGAATCCATCTCAAGAACCACTGTCTGTGTATCCATAAGAAGCAACTCTCTTTTTTATGGCTACATTATTCCATGGTGTATATGTACCACATTTTCTTCATCCAGTCTATTATTGATGGACATTTAGGTTGATTCCATGTCTTTGCTATTGTGAATAGTGCTGCAATGAACATACATGTGTACACGTCTTTTAAGAGAACAACTTATACGAGACCATGGCCTTTGCAGGGACATGTGTGGAGCTGGAGGCCATTATCCTTGGCAAACTAACACAGGAACAGAAAACCGAATACCGCATGTTCTCACTTATAAGTGGGAGCTAAATGGTAAGAACACATGGGTGCAGAGAGGGAAAAACACAAACTGGGACCTATTAGAGGATGAAGGTTGAGAGGATGGAGAGGATCAGGAAGGATAACTAATGGGTATTAGGCTTAATACATGGGTGACGAAATAATCTGTACAACAAACCTTCACAACACAAGTTTACCTATGTAACAAACCTGCACATGTACCCTGAACATAAATTAGCAGTTAAAAAAAGAGGCAACCCTCATCCATTCAAGTTTTACCATGAGATTACAGCAATTCAGTCCCATCATTAGTCTCCACTTCTAATTTTAGTTCTCTTTCCATTTCCACCACATCTGCAAATACTTCTTCCACTAAAGTCTTGGACCTCTCAAACTCATTCATGAGGGTTGAAAGCAACTTCTTCCAAACTCTTGCTTCTGTTGATATCTTGACCTTCTCCTGTGAACCACCAATGTTCTTAATGGCATCTAGAATGCTAAATCCTTTCCAAAAGATTTTCAATTTACTTTGCCCAGATCCATCAGAGGAATTACTACCTATGGCAGCTATAGCATTATGAAATGTATTTTTAAATAATACAACTTGAAAGTAAAAATGACGCTTTGATCTATGGGCTGCAGAATAAATGTTATATTAGCAGGCATTAAAAACAACACCAATCTCCTTGTACATTTCTATCAGAGCTCTTGCTTGACTATGTACATTGTCAATAAGAAATCATATTTTGAAAGGAGTCTTTTTTCTGAGTAGTAGGCCACAACAGCTGGCTTAAGGTGGTCAGTAAAGCAGGCTGTAAACAGATGTTTACAGATGTTCAGACCTTGTTGCTCCATTTATAGAGCCCAGGCTGAGTTGATACAGCATAATTCTTAAGGGACCTAAGGTGTTCAGAATGGTAAATGAGCATTGGCTTCAACTTAAAGTCACCAGCTACATTAACTGCTAACAAGAGAGTCAGCCTGTCCTTTGAAGCTGGGCACTGACTTCTCGTCTCCAGCTATGAAAGTCCTAGATGGCACCTTCCTCTAACATAAGGCTGTTTTGTCTAAATTAAAAATCTTTTGTTTACTGTAGCCACCTTCACCAATTATCTAAGCTAGATCTTCCGGATAACCTCCGCAGCTTCCACATCAGCACACGCTACTTCACCTTGCACTTGTAAGTTATGGAGACAGCTTCTTTCCTTAAACCTCCTGAATCAGCTTCTGCTAACCTCAAACTTTTCTTCTGCAGCTTCCTCACCTCTCTCAGCCTCCACAGATTTGAAAAGAGTTAGGGCCTTGCTCTGGATTAGGTTTTGGTTTAAGGGAATGTTGTGGCTGGCTTGATCTTTATTCCAGACCAATAACACTTTCTCTGTATCAGCAATAAGGTTGTTTTGCTTTCATATCATTTGTGTGTTCACTGGAGTAGCACTTTTAATTTGCTTCAAGTACTTTCCTTTGTATTAGCAACTCATCTATCTGGCACGAGAGGCCTAGCTTGCAGCCTGTCTCAGCTTTTGACATGCCTTCCTCACTAAGCTTAGTAATTTCTTGCTTTTGATTTAAGGTGAGAGACTTGAAACTCTTCCTTTCACTCTAAGTGGAGGCCACTGAAGGGTTGTTAATGGGCCTAATTTCAAGATCTTTTTATCTCAGAGAACAGGGACGCCCAAGGAGAGGGAGAGAGGAAACGGCTGGTCAGTGGAAGAGTCAGAACACGTACAATGTTTATCAGTTCAGTTTTGCCATCTTATACGGGCATGGTTCAAGGGATGCCAAAATAATTACAATAGTAACATCAAAGATCACCGATCACTGATCACCATTACAAATATAATAATGAAAACGTTTGAAATATTGTGAGAATTGCCAACATGTGACACAGAAATACAAAGTGAGCACATGCTGTTGAAAAAATGGTGCCAATAGATTTGCTTAATGTAGGGTTGCCATAAACCTTCAAATTGTAAAAAAAAAAAACTCAATATCTGTAAAGTGCAATAAAGAAACGTGCAATAAAATGAGGCATGCCTGTAGTTGAGAGGGAGATTTTCAAACTGAGAGATTAAGATATGCTAGCAGTTCTCAAACTCCTTGAACTCAGAACCCCTCATTTAAAAATCACTGAAGCTCTCCAATGGGCTTTTTTACATGAGTTATATCTCTTAATATTTGAAATTAAAACTAATTTTTAAAAATTTTATTCATATATTACAAGGAACAATAAATCTATTACATATTTTTATTTTTTATTTTTATTTTTTGAGAGGGAGTCTCACTCTTGTTGTCCAGGCTGGAGTGCGATGGTGCCATCTCAGCTCACTGCAACCTCCGCCTCCTGGGTTCAAGTGATTCTCCTGCCTCAGCCTCCCTAGTAGCTGGGATTACAGGTGCCTGCCACCACGCCAGGGTAATTTTTGTATTTTTGGTAGAGACGGGGTTTTACCATGTTGGCCAGGCTGATCTTGAACTCCTGACCTCAAGTGATCTGCTCGCCTCAGCCTCCCAAACTGCGGAGATTACAGGCGTGAGCCACCGCACCTGGCCCTATTACATATTATCAAAAAAAATTTTTGTGAAAATTGTATATTTCCAAATGAAAAAATGTAGTGAAAACTGCAGCATTTCTTTATTGATTTACACTTTGAAAATGTCTTCAGTCTGCCTGAATAGAAGATAGCTGTTTCTTACTGCATTCTTAAATTGGCTTCTGCATTCAGTCTGCGGCAATATGTTGCTTTGCTTGAAGTATATGAAGAAAATACAGTCTTATATAAAAATAAAGTTGGAAATAGAAGGAGTATATTAATAGCCTTTCCAAATAATTGTGTATATTATTTTTTGATGCTCCATTAAAATATGGCAAGTACAGTTTCTTAAAGATAAGATGCAATTTAGAAATTTGAAACTATAGAAACGAGTTTTTCATGCCCTGCCTGGTATATGAAAATCTATTGGTCTATGTTGTACTTTGAATGGATCTTTCATTCATGCTTGATAAATTCTCAAAGGCATACATTGGTCAATTAGAAAATATTAGATCCCTGACTCAGAGGTCTAACTGAAGGTGCTCCAAATGTTTACATATTATATTATACTATCAATAAAATTACATGTGTTAATATCACCACCAATTTCATAAGAAAGTCTCTACGTATTTGGAAATTATCAAGCTCCTAGTGACAGATTTAAGGTTTTTAAAATTCTAATTTTGCTCAAAAACTTGAATTTTATCATTGACAACAAATATTGTCAGCTGTTTTCCTTGAAATGATAGGCTTATGTCATTCATGTTAAATAAAATTTCTGCGAAATACCTAAATTTAAATAGCCATAATATGTCTGTCAGTCATGCTTTCAAATAAAAATGGCGTTGAGTGTAAAAAGTGGCTAATTCAACTCACAATTCAAAGAATGACACGTTTTTCCCCAGGGCATCCATTGTATGCCATTTGCAAGTGAAGTGTTTATGTTTATATGTACTTCCCATTTTCTCACACAGAATATTAAAGTGATATTATTCAAGTGTCTAGATTTAATAGAATTAGCCATTTAGGCTGCTGGAGTAAGACATCCTTAAGTGAAACTAGCAATTTCTTATACTGTGAGTACATGGCAGCAGATTCCAGCTAAGGTGCCAATAGTTTTGCCAACCATTGCTTTACCATTACTGCAAATGTCAACACAGTACCAAAGGCAAATAAGATCTTACTATTACTGTGAAAACAGTTTTGACCCCATCCAATTGTCCTGGGAACCTCCAGGTGTCTGGAAACCACACACTGAGAATCATTAGTTTGTGAGAAGGCTTTAGGATGAATAAGACAAGAGTGAAATGTGCGAGATGCCATATTACAGAATCCAACAGATCTCCCTGTGATCCCTTGAATTTTTAGTTAAATAATCTTCAGGCAATGATAATTTGATTGTTCCTTTCAAATTTGTATCTCTTTTTATTGGTACAGTGTTTAAACATATTAACAAGCATCCCATAAACATTTTAAGTCATAATACTGATCAGATGCTATTCTTATCAAGCTAATTACTATCGGAAAGTCCTTCAGTATTTCACCACTAAACCCTACATTACCTGTTAGCTTGAGATGCCTATTTTGGGGGTATATTCTTCTATTACCATTTTAATTACAAAATTTTTTGAGAATGAATGTTGAATTTTATTAAATGCATTTTTGGCATGTAAGAAATGGATCCGATGTTTGTTCTCATTTGAACTACAAATATAGTACAATAATAATAAATACTATATAACATTGAGCCATACTTGATCATGAACCTTAGATCATGGACATACTGTACTGACTGACCAGCATCCTCTTGTTTGAGAAGCGACCTCTCACCCATTCCATGTTTTTGGTGGAGTACTCAATCGTTGACTATACAGAAGGGCACAAAGACAACGCGCAGAAAACAATAAAGTGGGTTGACCCAGAGGTGGGCGTACAACACAATATCGGCCAGAGTTCCTTCCTAAGGGGGCTATAAAAGTGCCGGAAGAAAGACAGTCTCTTGCGACTGGCATTTCTGAGCCTCAAGAATATGAACTTCAGGCCAGGCACGGTGGCTCACACTTGTAATCCCAGCACTTTGGGAGGCCGAGGAGGGAGGATCACGAGGTTAGGAGATCGAGACCATCCTGGCTAACACGGTGAAACCCCGTCTATACTAAAAATAAAAAAAATTAGCTGGGCGTGGTGGCGGGCGCCTGTAGTTCCAGCATCTCAGGAGGCTGAGGCAGGAGAAATGGCGTGAACCACGGAGGCGGAGCTTGCAGTGAGCTGAGATCGCGCCACTGCATTCCAGCCTGGGCGACAGACCGAGACTCCATTTCCAAAAAAAAAAAAAAAAAAAAGAATATGAACCTCAAGTTGCTGACTGCCATTTCCCTTTCCCCACAGAGGAAGGTGTAGTCAACATATTGAGAGAAGAAAAGCTGAAAAAATAGAAGAGAATGACATTATTTAAGCCTGTGAATACTTTTACGTCTAAAGTCACATTAATGCCTGGTCCTACTGGGTCCATAAACCAATACGGACTCTTAAAGAGTCACAGGTGAGTTTTCACATGGCAATCACAAAATGTTAACACACCCTACTTGATCAGGGTTAACATTTTTTCTTAAGTTCTGTTGAAATTTTTCTACTTAGAGTTGCTTTATCAATGTTCACGTGTGAGAGTAATCTATTTTATGTGTGAGTGGGTGTGTGTTAATTTTGTCAAGGTTGGCTGGCTTTGTTTAAAAAAGAAAAAGAAAAAGAAGAAAGAGAAAAGAACAAAATAAAACCAGACAAAACAATACCAGAACAGCAGAAATAACAGGCATCACCTGTGGCTTAAGGAGTTAAAAAAATTCTGTGTGAAACTATGTGGGCTCAAATCTTTTATGGAGATTTTTCAATATTCTCATCTTTTTCATGAATATTCAGTTGGCCAGGTTTTTAAACTTTTCTCTAATTGATTTTGATAATTCATATTTTTCTAGGAAACAATTTCTTTCATTAAGGTCTTCATATAAACTAGCCTGCTCTTTGATACTTTTTTTTGATATCCTATCTGTGGGTATTTCATCTTTCTCATTCCTAATTATGTATTTGTGTTTTTTCTCTATTTTTCACAAATAGATGACCTAGTAACTTATTTGAATATTTGTATTTGTTATTGTTTTCTTATTATAAGAAATACTATGGGATGCATTTAATAATTTTGTAATTTTATTTTATTTTTTGAGATGGAGTTTGGCTTTTGTTGCCCAGGCTAGAGTGCAATAGTGAACTCTTGGCTCACCACAACCTCTGCCTCCCAGATTCAAGTGATTCTCCTGCCTCAGCCTCCCAAGTAGCTGGGATTACAGGCATGCACCACCACACCTGGCTAATTTTTGTATTGTATTTTTTAGTAGAGATGGGGTTTCTCCACGTTGGTCAGGGTGGTCTCGAACTCCCAACCTCAGGTGATCCACCTGCCTCAGCCTCCCAAAGTGCTGGGATTAGAGAAATGAGCCACCATGCCCAGCCAATTTTGTTATTTTCCTAATTCATTAATTCTTGCATTTATAGTTATATTTTTTCTTCCTGCTTTGCTAAGTGTAATTTGTTGTTCTTGTTCAGTTTCTATGAACTTCATGATTAATTCTTTCATCAGCATCTAACTCCCTCTTTTGGGAGTCATCTCTCCTAGAGTCTTGAGAGCTCCCCCACCCAAGACTTATTTCCACCAATATCCTACTAATTCTTTTCTGACTTTTTCTTTTAATACAGAACATCAGTTCCTTCAGCTGGAAAAGGAAGCACTTTCCTCATTACATTTCCCTTTGGTTAGGTGGAAAGAACATTTTCTAATGCTTTACAGAAAATCATTCAGCCAAGCACAAACTTCCACAAAAACTAAATGGATCAAATAGGCCACCTTGGTTACACACTCTGCACAATCAGGAAAATAGCTCTGAGAGATATACAAATAATTTTGTCAAGGCAGGAGCCAACATGGGTCTTGGGAGGAAAGAGGAAAAGTTAAGAGCCTTATTAAAATAGCTCACATCACTTCACTTTGGGCACTGGGTTTCATGCTATGCAGTTTATTGAATTAAACTTCCATTAATCTCCCTGTAGCACTGAAATTGCCAAAATGCCTCAACCGGTTAATGAAAAAAATTACACAAACATACCACAAAGAAAACCAAGGACCTGTGCAAGGGCAAATGGTTTTGATTTAATGTAAATCAGTTTGACCATTTTTGAGAGGCACTACTAGAAAGGCCAAAAGAAATGGCTTATGGTTTTAGCTACTAAAAGAGAATATTTATAATAGCTATGACTTTTCCACTGAAATCCTATAGGTGATAGGTCTCTAATATAAACTTATAGTGTCTGCAATTTCCAACAAAAAAGAAAAGTGTTCTAAGGTGTTATAATATTGTTCATGCCCTGACATAATTTTTATCTAAATCAGGAAAGGAGTTTTTAGTCGGTTGAGTTGGATTGCTAACTCATGGGGGGTTTGTAATGGTACATTCAGATGATTTCCAAGAAGACATTTTCAGGCTATTGTATTATTAATACAAGGATTAAAGTGTCCCCCAAAGACCTCTGACAAGACAGACCATAACTGCTCCAAAAGGGCTATTATACTCTAGTCTGTTGGTGATTCAGAGATTTTTCAAGTGCTTGGGCCCTAAGGATGAGCAGCCAAGAGAGAAGGACCATGACCGAATTGAGTTTCTTTTGTCATTGCACGGGTAGGAGCTGTTAATCTGTATTTGCTTTCTGTTTTGAATAAAGGAGAGGAAATTATTCTCCTCTGGAAAAATTTCCACCCATCCCCAAAACTCCCCTGTGATTATAGTTGAACAAAAAATGAATCCTCCCTTTTTTATACCAAAACTACTGTCTCCTGTTCTGGAGTATTGAACAGCTGTTGTCTGCTGCACCAGGGGAGAGGGCTACAATTCAGGGATTAATTGAAGTAATTTTCCTAGAAACATAGAGCAGAACTCGTGTGGGTAAGTCACTCTGCAAAGACCAGATGAACTTTGTAAAATCATATCCATCCTTCATTGAGCAATCATAGCATCTTAGAAAGCTTCCAGACAAGGGTGGTTCTTGGTAATATTTTCATAGTGCATTTCCAAAGTTCACTTGATTCGAAGTTACTCTTTCCATTTTAGATATAAGAAATCAGGACTCCCAAAGCTAAATAAATTGCTCAAAGTCACTTTTTTTTTTCTTAGTGGCAAGACAAATATGAGGACTGCAGACATCATGCTCTTTTTCAATGACATCTAAGTAGCAGAGTCACAGAGATGAAGAGCAATAAAGAAAACAAACCAGGGGTTGAAGCAGGAGGATCACTTGAGGCCAGGAGTTTGAGACCAGCCTGAGCAACAAACAAAGCAAGAACCCCATCTCTACAAAAAAAAAATTTTTTAAATAAGCCAGGCACAGCAGCAGGCACCTGCAGTCCCAGCTACTTGGGAGGCTGAGGTGGGAGGATTGCTTGAGTCCAGTAGTTCAAGGTTGCAGTGGGCTGTGATTATGCCACTGCATTCCAGCCTGGAAAACATAGCTAGACCCCATCTCTAAAAAAAATAAAATAAAATAAAATAAAAAGGAAAGCAAGAAAGCAAACTAACTGGTAGAGTATTTTCTAAATTCGCTTAAAGAAGTTAGACCATTACCTGGCTCTTTTTCATCTATTCTTCAAATACATTGAATCTTTCTCCCAGCCCCAGTTACTTCTTCTGTACAAACAGACAACACTGCAAAATATACTTTAATTATTTCCCTCTAGTATTAGTATCTTGTTTAAATCTGAGATAATGTGGAAAGTAATGACAGCTAGTGTTTATTATGCTAGGCATTGCTCTAAGTACTTCGTGTGTGTATAATCTATTTCAGTTTCCCTAGCAGCCCCATGTGATCAGGTACTATTATTATCCACATTTTAAAGGTTAGGAAACCAAAGCACAAAGGTTAAACATCTTATGAAGATCACAAGAATGGGAAGTGGTAAAGCTGAGATTTGAACTTATTAATAGATCAGATTGGGGCTCTTAAATTCCTCTATTCAACAGTGGTTCAGTACGTCTAATTTCTTTAGCTTTAGAGGTTATGGGACACATTTGTGAATAAAAGAAGGAAGAGAGAAAGGGAGAGATAAGAGGCAGTTAGTTAAAGAAGGAACAAGGTTAGGTAGAAACCAAAAAAATAGTATTGTTTAATCCAACTATTTATGAAGAACTATTGGGGAGTTTGAAAACTAATTTATAAGTCTAGTATTTTTTCTGTTACTTGAATGTAGTCTTTTTTTGTGTATCCTCTGTCTAGTCTTCAGATATTGAAATAAAGATTCAGAGTCTATAAAAAATACAATCAACTGGCCATTATCTAAAAGGTAGCAAAGGTCATAAAAATTAAACTTTTGTTTAGGAAGAACAAAAAAGATTTTCTTTTAATTTAGAGTTAATTTATACAAGTGATGACACAAAAAGTTAATCACCACTATCGACAAAAACTAGACAAACCTAGTAGTGGGGAAAAATTCTGGGCATATTTTGAAAGCTTGGCAGCTGAAAACATATCAAGATACATTCTTTGCATCAGAGGAGGCCACATTCTCATTTAATTTATTTGTATTTCTTTAGAAGCAGGAAATACACATCAATCTCATTTGGCCTATTTTAAAAGGAAAGAGTACTGCCAGAGCAAAGTGATAACCCAATGGTGTTGTCCAGCAGCAGGCAGGAATGGGAGTCCAAGCAACTAAGGAAATCAGCATAAATACTAAGAGTTAAGTAACAAGAGATCCTAGTCCAAAGCAGTTAACATGGTGGAGGAATCAGGCAGCTAGTAGGTCATAGAGGTATAACCTAGAAGGTAGTTCAATCCCAGACCCCCAGATGTCTCTGCATTCCCGATGACTTCCCTTCCCATGTCCATTCTGCCTTCAAATTTCTATTGCTACATAAGTCTGCATTCCACTCTTCTCTCAAGACGGGTGGCCTCTTCTGCCCCTCCTCTCTGCTCAGCTCCGAACCCAATCTATATGAGTGTCTTCATTGTTGCACACATGAATACACATATGCACACAGAGACACACACACACCAGTCACTAAAAGCTCTTTTCTATGTAGCACATATTACTGAAGTCTTGGGGAAACAGATGAATTGACTTCTAGCTATTAAAATAACTTAAAATCTAGAAGTTCTTCAGCCACCCTACTGTGTTGTTTAGTCATTCACTCTGCCCTTATTCCCAATACCCTCACTAAAATTCTCCCTGTCCTCCAAATTCCTGCTTATCTTTTATGAATAGCAGATTAGCAATCTTTTTTTTTATTTTGTTCAAATCTGTACTCTAAGAGACAGATTTAACATAACTATCAAGGAGTTTCCCAAACGAAGACAGTTCCCCACCTTGTGTTATACTCATCCTTATTACTATAACTATCAATATTATTTTAATTTTTACTTATCCAGCTCTAAAGTCAAGTTGTCTTCTGGTTTTTCTCCCACTTAATGAATCCTCTTTTACCAACCTCCAAATGTCAGAAAGACACGAGGGTTCAGTATTGTGACCTCATTAGCTCTCTATTAGAGTCTGCTCCTATGTAATCTCATCAAGTCACAAGACCTTAAAGAACAAATATGCTATTGACTTCCAAATTTTATATCTCCAGCTTTGCTCTTGTAGATGTCAAATAAAAATCTAAAACATCGACAAATCTAAAACAGCATGTTAATTATTCTCCCCAAACCTGTCTTTTTATTTCCAGTGTTGTCCATCTCAGTAAATGGAAGGCCAAGGTGGGAGGATCACTTGAGCCCAGGAGGTCAAAGCTGCAGAGAGAGCTATGATTACACCACTGAACTCCAGCTTTTATTAAGACCCTGTCTTAACAAAAACAACAACAACTACAACAACAACAAAGAACATTATTGAGAAAATGAAAATGCAACCTACAAAATGGGAGAGAATATTTGCAAATCACATATTTGAAAAAGGTCTAGTATCTAGAATATATAAATCACTCTTACAACTCACTAACAAAAGGAAAAAAAAGGGGCAAAAGATTTGAATAAGTGTAACTCCCAAAAAGATACATGAATACAAATATCAATAAGTACATGCAAAGATGTTTAACATCATTGGGGGTTAGAAAAATGAAAATCAAAATCATAATGACATACCACCCACCTGAATTACTATAATTTTTTTAAATCAGAATATAAAAGGAATTGCTGATAATGTATTAAAATTGGAACCCTCATACATTGCTAGTGGAAGGTATATTGGTATAGACATTGTGGAAAACAGTTTGGTATTTCTTAAAAAAATAAGTAACATGTAATATTCATACATACAACTGAATGTTAGGCAGTTAGAAATAAAGTGCACATGGAGCAACAAGAACTTTCTTTGATTGTTGCTGGGAATGCAAAATGCTATAGTCATTTTGGAAAATAGTCTAGCAGTTTCTTACAAAACTAAACGTACTGTTATCATACGATTCAGCAATTGCATTTCTGGATATTTACTCAAAGGTTTTGTAAACTTTTACCTACCAAAAACTCTGCACACGGATATTTATAGTAGCTTTATTCATAGTTGCCAAAACTTTGAAGCATCCAAGATGGCCTGCCGTAGGTGTGCAGATAAATAAACAGGTACATCTAGATAATGGAATAGTACTCAGTGGTAGAAGGAAATAAGCTGACAAGCCATGAAAAAACAGGGAAGAAACTTAAATGCATAGACTAACTGAAAGAAGGCAATCTGAAAAGGCCACATACTGCATGACCTGAACTATATGACATTCTGGAAAAGTCAAAACTGTAGAGACAGTATAAAGATCAGTGGTTGCCAGGGGTTAGAGAAGAAGGAGATGAATACTGATTGGGTTCAGAATATACTTCCCCAAAATATGGCACCTTGGCATTTGAGAAAGCAACAGAAACAAGAAGGTCACTCTCACCCTCCCCACACCACTCTTTCCTGAAGCAGGTCATAAAACCTAGGATGAATTTTCTGACTTTCATAAGATATGGAAGTTCCTATCCTATTGGTACATGGAGAGTACGTCTCACATGGGGGTCTTATGAATATCCATATCTCTGAAGACAAAGGGTCACAGAGAAGAATCTGAACAAATGGGTCTCACTACATTTCCCTCAGTTTGTTACCATTAGATCATACCCTTTTTGACCTGGTACATTTACCCATAACTATCCATACTATCCATTTTTCATCAAACCTAGCATAGAAATACGCAGGTTTAACCATTTATTTGAGTTTTCACTTCTTTACAGTTATTCCCATGTCACATAAAGCTTATATGAAATGAATATGTATGCTTTTCTCTTGTTAATTTGTATTGTTAAAGGGGTGTCAGCCATAAACCTAGGTAGAGTAGAGAAAAAGATTATTTTTTCCACTACCAACGTTTTCTGGAGCCCAACATGGGGTGGCTGAAAACCCCATTTGCTTTAGAGCTACGGATGGGATTCTAGCACAATGAATAAAAGCTGGCAAAATGTAAAAATTCTTACTAAAGTCAGCTCTCCCAGATCTTTGTCTGTAGTGTCCGGTTGAGAAAAGAAGGTAAAAATTTCCTGCCAGTTATTTTCCAAGTTCAGATTATCAAGAGAAAAACATATGTTTGGATGTGACTAAATTTGCATGCTTTCTTCCTGCTAATCTGTCTTTTGTTATAACATCCTCAAACATCAACCTAGAACGTAAAGAGAAAAGGTATATTAACTCCCGTACAACATATAGAACAAGAGAATATTTAAGGCAGTGAAACTCCTCTGCATGATGCTATAATGGTAGATATATGTTATTATACATGTGTCCAAATCCATAAAACAGGTAACACCAAGAGTGAGCCCTAATGTAAATCATGGTCTTTGGGTGATTGCGATGTGTCAATGAAGGTTCATAAATTATAACAAATGTACCACTGCAGTGGGGGATATTAATAATAGGGAAGCTATGCATGGGTGGGGGGATATGAGAAACTTCTGTACCTTCCTCTCAATTTTGCTGTGAATCTAAAATTGCTCTACAAAAATAAATACATAAATAAATAATAAAAATAAAAATAAAACTGACCTACAAAATTGTCTATTTTAAAAAAGCTATAAAGTACTGATAAATGCTACAACATGGATGAATCTTGAAAACTGTTCTGGCCAGGTGCAGTGGCTCACGCCAGTAATCCCAGCACTTTGGGAGGCTGAGACAGGTAGATCACTTGAGGCCAGGAGTTCGAGACCAGCCTGGCTAACATGGCAAAACCCCATCTCTACTAAAAATACAAAAAATTAGCTGTACGTGGTGGCGAGCACCTATAATCCCAGCTACCTGGGAGGTTAAGGCAGGAGAATCACTTGAACCCTGGAGTCAGAGGTTGCAGTGAGCCAAGATCGCACCACTGCATTCCAGCTTGGGTGACAGAGTGAGACCCTGACTCAAAAAAGAGAAAAAGAAAACAGCCTGGTGTGGTGGCTCACGCCTGTAATCCCAGCACTTTGGAAGGCCGAGGCGAGTGGATCACCTGAGTTCAGGAGTTCGAGTCCAGCCTGGCCAACACAATGAAACCCTATCTCTACTAAAAATACAAAAAACTAGCCGGGCATGGTGGCAGGTGCCTGTAATCTCAGCTACTCAGGAGGCTGAGGCTGGAGAATTGCTTGAACCCGGGAGGCGGAGGTTGCAGTGAGCCAAGATCGCACCACTGCACTCCAGCCTGGGCAACAAGAGCGAAACTCCATCTCAAAAGAAAAAAATGTTGTGCTAAGTAAAAGAAGACGGATATAAAAGATCATATAAATAGGTATATAAAAGGCTATATTATATGATTCCATTTAAGTAAAATGTCCAGAATAGGCAATTCTACAGAGACAGAATAGATTAGTGGTTAAAAAAGGGGTCGAGCAGGGAGAGAGCAAAAGCTGGGATATATACAGTTTCTTTTGGGGATGATATAAATGTTGCAGCCTCGACTTCCTGGGCAGTCCTCCTGCCGCAGTCACCCATGTAGCTGACACCACAGGCACTTGCCAACATGCCCAGCTAATTTTTTTTTTTTCGTAGAGACAGGGTCTCACTTGGTTGCCCAGGCTGGTCTCAAACCCCTGGGATCAAGAAGTCCTCCTGCCTTGGCCTCCCAAAGTGCTGGGATTATAAGCTTGAGCTACTGCACCTGAACTTCGGTAAGTTTTTGTTTTTTTTTTAAAGGATAAGGCATATTGTTTTTCATCCCTGGAACTGTAACATAGTGCCTGGCATGTGCTCAAATATAAATAAAGCAATAAATGAACCAAAGATGTCAGGTACAAAGAATTAGAAATATTTAGTTTGGGTTGTGTGGGTACTGAAGTTCTACAGGCCAAAGTTAAGTCCAGGGAGGCTAGATCAGGAAGGAAGGAACCAGTGGTTTGCCAGTGAATGTTTACCAACCAGTCCCCTTGGTAGGGGGAAGGAGGCCTTAATTTACAAATACTCTCAATCTGGCCACTTTAAAGCCCCTCAACATCACTGAACATGGAGTTGAGAAGAGATATGTAAAATACAGGCTCTCATGAGCTAGTAAAAAACAGCTCTAACACTTGGAAAATTCACAATCTGGGAGATAAGAGAGAACCAATGGTGAGCAGTGTATGGAGAGCATCTGTCCCAAGGCAAAGGTGCTTTGCCATCTGCACAGGTGGGAATTATAATGAGAAAAACATCAGATTCCTACAGGCACATGCTATTTCTGATTAAGATGTTAGGCTTTCCTCACAAAGAGGGCATGGGAGGAAAAAAAAAAAAAACAGCCACTGCCTTTGGTCACTGCTATCCTGATGCACATAGCAACTGCTGACTGACATATACAGATACATCACAGAAAGTCAATATGAACTAGAGTTTTGTTTCCAGAAGCAGAAACTCACTTGCAGGAGCACTTGTGGAGGCAGCTCATGTCTCAGGGCACCACCACATTTCTCTGTTTCCCATCTTAATTTCACACTGTCTGTCCTGAGTTAGAGGATTTGGGCTGCCTAGTCCACACCTGCTTGTTTACTGCTCCAGGTGGCTGGGCTTCCAGATTGCCATCTAAAGTAATTTGGAGAAAGTAGTTAAAATGCCCACGTGACACTCTCCAAATGTCTTAAATTATCAGAGAAAATATTAATTTTAAATCTCATAAATGTCTCCAGCATCTATCAAACCAGAATAGGGGCTGATTGGCTCAGAGCAGAAGGATAATGAGTTTATTCCAGAACCATTGATAGTATTAGTGGTTTGGGATGGATTAGGCAGTACAATCCACCTGGGCAGTACATTAGCAAATCTACATGTAATAATTAATTTGTGACTGAGGAAAAAAGAAGATATCAATAATAAAAGTCTTGTAGCCATCAAAAACAACAACAAACAGTGAAAAAATTTTGTCAAGGCATATGTATCATTAACTTAGTCTACTGGTTGACTGTTTTATTAGTAAAGTTCCAACCCAACACACAAGGAAAGGCAGAAACAAAAACTAAGCTTCTTGCACATAGTAAGATAATAAATATACCACCTTTTTTTTCTTTTTTTTGAGACAAAGTCTCGCTCTGTCACCAGGCTTGAGTGCAATGGCGTGATCTCAGCTCATGGTAACCTCCGCCTCCCAGGTTGAAGCAATTCTCCTGCCTCAGCCTCCTGAGTAGCTGAGACTACAGGCACACACCACCACACCCAGCTAATTTTTGTATTTTTAGTATAGACGGGGTTTCACCATGTTGGCCATAACGGTCTCAATCTCTTGACCCTGTGATCCACCCGCCTCAGCCTCCCAAAGTGCTGGGATTACAGGTGTGAGCCATTGCACCCAGCTGACCGATATCACTCTTTTTTCCACAAGACCACAAACATTGCAGGTTCCAAATGCAACCAAACTCTTCTTTTGTTTTGTTTTTATTTGTTTGTTTGTTTTTGAGATGGAGTCTCATGGCTTTTTTTTTTTTTTTTTAGGCAGAGTCTCACCGCTCTGTCGCCCAGGCTGGAGTGCAGTGGTATGATCTTGGCTCACTACAACCTCTGCCTCCCAGGTTTGAGTGATTCTCTTGCCTCAGCCTCCCAAGTAGCTGGGACTACAGGTGCGCACCACCACGCCTGGCTAATTTTTTTTTTTTTTTTTTTTGTATTTTGAGTAGCAACGGGCTTTCACCATGTTGGCCAGGCTGGTCTCAAACTCCTCACCTCAGATGGTCCACCCACCTCGGCCTCCCAAAATACTGGGATTACAGGTGTGAGCCACCATGCTCCACCTCTTCCTTAGTTATTAATAAACTAAACAAATTTGACAATGGGATAAAACGTGAAGAAGGACAATGATAAGACAGAAGACATGTTAATTAATGGTGTGTCTTCCCTCAGGATATATTGCTTTCCTGCTTTAGCCTCTTAAATAATTGAGCAAGCTCTTGAGGCAGTCTTTGGAGGCTGTTTTTAACACCAACAGTGTTTAAAACAATTAGAATGAGCAGATCAAGTCACTGGAATGCTGTGAATACAGACTTTGAAGCCACAAATTAATAGTGTTTCAACTAGGTGAGCAGGGCTACAACTAAGAGGGTAGAATTTCCTGCTACAAACTTGCAAAAAAGCAAATCATGCTTATTTAGAATTATTTAGTACCACACTATAAAAGGCAAGGACTTGACTTAGGCTAGCACTTTCCAATCCATGTTCTCTCAAAAATTACTATTCCTCAAAAAATATTCTCTGGTTAAATATGTAAACACTACACAAACAAGTTTGGAAGATATTCCATGGTATAGTTTATTTTTAGAGTTGGAGCATATTAAAGCTCTGAGAAATTCTACAGCATAAAAAAGTAAAAGTTTGTTCACCCCATTACTTATCGAACTTTTTAATTTAAAAAATTTATTCAGATCTAAAGCCAGGCATAGTGGCTCACACCTGTAATCCCAGGACTTTCAGAAGCCGAGGCAGGGGGATAGCTTGAGACTCAAGAATTCAAGCCCAACCTGGACAACAAAGCAAGACCCCATCTCCACAAAAATAATAAAAATTAGACAGGCATGGTGGCATACCACCTGTAGCCCCAACTACTCAAGAGGCTAAGACAGGAAGATCGCTTGAACCCAGGAGGTTGAGGCTGCAGCGCTGAGGTATGGTTGTGCCCCTGCACTCCAACCTGGGTAACACAGCGATACCTTGTCTCAAGAAAAAAAAAAATGTATTCGGATGTAAAAGAATAATAGTGTGCTTCAGAATACTATTTGGAAAACCCTGGTATAAGATCCCTTTCACGGTATCTATAATGGTAAGTTCTTCTACCTAGAAAATGAGTTGGGAAATGTTTACATTTTTAAAGCCAGCGAGAAAAGAAGAAAATTTATAAAAAGTATTGTAAATGTTCTTTAAATGTAGCTGCTCTATACTAATTCCAAAGGGAATACAACAAAACACTCAGCCAGTGAGTGATCCCAATCCTCCAGAAAGGCTGCAGGAAATGTAGTTCCCCTCGGGGTCAAATCTTATACATGCTCTTGCTACTTATTCTATGTGGACAGTGACCACAGAAAGGCCCATCCTGTAGCACAGGGCCAGATAGCAAGTCTGATAGGCTTTGCGGGCCATGCAGTCTCTGCTGAAACTACTCAACTCTGATGTTGTAGCATAAAAGCAATCATAGGCGGATAAACCAGTGATCATGGCTGTACTTTGATAAAACATTACTTACAAAAATAAGTGATGGGCCTGACTTGGCCTAGAGGTCACAGTTTTGCTATCCTAACATATGGTATAGCATTAGCTGCCATGTTGTGGAAACGTTCTGCTTCTCAGTGTCAGAAAAACCAATCTTCTTGCTTACTCTTTTTTAACCACATAAAATGGCAGTTGCCTGCTCGATAGATCCTTGGAATTAAAGCGCTGGCTGGTGTTAACAAAGTATAGGCCTGGATTGCCATGTGCCCATTATTTAATGTATGCCAGTGGCAATAAAAGGGAACGAGAATTGGATAATTTAGAAGTTAAAGCAGGAATCAAATTTGCTGAACGTATACTGTCTTTTCTTTTTCTAATATATAAATAAGTATATGTATATATGTAAACAGTGCAATGAAAACAGAAGACATCTTTTTGATTAATAGATAATTATCATGTTTTCTAAAAACTAGACCATCCACAAGCATATCTTTCCAGTTGTTTGAACAATAAAAATCCAATAATTGCCGCCTGAGGGGTGCTTAATGGTATTTATACATGACTGTGTATAATAGGGAGATTTCTTTTTAATTAGGACCTTTATCTAAAAGTTACACTTTTGGCAGAATAAAAATTCTTTTATTTTACCCTAGTGTACAGGAGAGAATACATGAGGATAAAGAGATCAGAGGCCAAACAGGATATTGAGTTACAGAAAGCTGCAAGACAAGGTAAGCAGCAAAAGCTGTTCCTGGAGTTTATTTAACAAAGTGGGCAACCAGCGTTTTGTAGAGTAAAGCTTTGGCAAAGGCTGTATTTGAAACAAACTTGGAATGTTTTCAAATGCAAACTTTAAAGCAATGTTTCTCAAAGTGCAATCCATGGGTCACATACATTGGAATGACCTAGGCATGTTTGTTAAAAACACAGACAGTTGGGGCCCATTCTAGACCTGTTAAATCTGCATCTCTCAGAGTGCAGCCAGGAAGCTGCATTTTCTTTTAAACAAGATCTCCAGATACTTCTAATGAACACTACCATTTGAGAACATCAAACTGAGGAGTAATAATGAAAAGGCAGTAATGAAGATTCTACATTATCTTATCACGGATTGGCATGGGGCAACAATGACATAAGCCACAGAAGAGAAACCCAAAGACAAAAAAGGAAAGAGGACCATGATATAGGAAAGCAGAAACTGTGTCCCTTACCACATTAGCTAGAGATTTCCAAAGGCCTTTCGTAAGGAGGATCTGGAAGTTGATGAATACCCATCTTCCCCTAAAATATGTATAGATAGGGCCGGGCACGGTGGCTCATGCCTGTAATCCCAGCACTTTGGGAGGCCGAGGCAGGCGGATCACCTGAGGTCAGGAGGCCGAGATCAGCCTGACCAACATGGAGAAACGCCATATCTACTAAAAATACAAAATTAGCCGGGCTTGGTGGTGCATGCCTGCAATCCCAGCTACTCGGGAGGCTGAGGCAGAAGAATTGCTTGAATCTGGGAGGTGGAGGTTGCAGTGAGCCGAGATCACACCACTGCACTCCAGCCTGGGCAACAGAGCAAGACTCTGTCTCACCAAAAAAAAAAAAAAAGTGTGTATAGATAGTCCCCAACTTATGATTTTTTGACTTTTCGATGGTGCAAAACCATCTGTTTTTCTCTTTCAATACAATATTCAATAAATTACATGAGATATTCAACACTTTATTATAAAATAGGCTTTGTGCTAGACAATTTTATCCAACCATAGGCTAATGTAAGTGTTCTGAGAATTTTAATGTAGGCTAGCCCTACATAAAATGAAATGTTAATTAAATGTATACTATGCTTATGTTGGTACCCTGAAAAAGGCATATATAACATTTTCAATTCAAGTTTGGACACTCTTTATAATTCCTCTGTCATCTTTAAAAAGTTATCTACTGAAGCCAATAAAAATTGCTCCCACTAGTGATATATAAAAATACCAGAACTGAGGGCCTGACTCTGAGCGTCAAGACTCTGGTGCCTGGGACAGCTGTGTGTATAAATGGCTTGGCCAGTTACCGGTGATGTCCCATGGTGCAGGCTGGAACTGCAAGAGAACAGGGTCAGCAGTTGCCTGCCCAGGTCTCACTGCAGGAAGGGGTTCCTTGCCTAGTACAGTTGGGCCCACATTAGAAGTGTGCCCCTGGAGAGACATCACCACCCTCCTGCTGCTCTCCCTTTCTATAAGGCAAGTGTGAGAACAGGCTTGCAGGCAGGGGATGAGCAGCCTGGGCCAGTCACTTGCTGTGTAGGGAGCTATCTGGAAATGCCAGCTGCAAGCATCTGGTGAACATTTGGTGTGAGGTTGGGTTTAGTTGTAGCTCTTCCAACTGCAGAGAAGCAAAGCCACTAGTCCCGTGGAATGCCAATTTGAAGTGCAGCCATTTCCTGACAGTTGGGTGAGCCCCTACTTGCAGCTATCTCATGACTTGATCCATGAAAAGGGGCAACCCTTTACTTTCATTCCTTCCATTCATTGATCAGTCAATCTCTCCACAGGGCAAATAAACGCTTATAAAATGCTGTCTAACTAAGGAATAATTGTAACTCAATATTAAATGCATGTTCAGAAGCATACACATATGTGATTACACACACACACACACACACACACACACTCCCACCAGAGTTTATCCATATAAAACATAGCCACATATCTTTCCTAAATTTTCACTTTGTTGTGTTTTGAATAGATTAGGTTGAAGGAATGACTAAACTTGGTTGTCCCTATTTAAGAGTATGGTGTCAGCTCTTCCGTCAACAAGAAGAAGTATGACCCCAAGGTCAAAAAACCAAAAACCGTGTTCTACTCTGCACTCCACTGGGCCCAGCTGCAAGACTGCAGGCAAATCACTTTCTAGCTTCTACTGCTCAGTTTCCTCATCTGGAAATGGGGATGACGAGATGTGTGATAAGCATTAATTAATGTTTGCAAACTGTTTTGAGATCCACTGATGAAAGAGACAAAGTATTAGTTTTCTCAGCATGGGCAAACAAATGCTTGGTACAAATCCAGCTAAATCATGCTGAGTTAATTACCTGTAAGCCTTGAAACTGTTGTATCAAATCTGTTTTGTACTTTCCTGCCCCAGGCAGATTAGCACCTGTAGTGTTTTACACTGAATCACCAAGAGAAGTCAGCAGACAAATTGGGTCAAAAGATATGACTGTAGTTCTCATGGATTCCTGTTTGCCTGAGATAACTATTTTGGAAGCAAAAAAAAAGAACCAAATTTTTAAATATGTGATAAATGTTGGGTTATAGAGGCAGCCTGCAATGCCCAATAATAAGCATGTAATTTTGAATAATGAACAAAGATCAAGATGTGGAGCCATTAAAAAAAATAGTGTGCCTACCATTTTTTATGTATCCCAAAGATACATAAAGAAGTAATGTATCTTTGTAGCAAAGTATATGTATCTTTGGGATACATAAAGAATGGTAGGTATTCAACAAAACTAGCAAAGGTTGCTAGTTCTTAAACATTGTTTAAAAGTCCCAGACAAGCTAGACATTTGATACAAAAATACAACTTTCTGAGTGATGCCACTTGCTAGAGAAGTGAAGGGAGCACTTTGAAGGCTTTGAGTAAGACTCTTTAAATATCATATGTGAGCCAGAGGTTTAGACGAGCAAATCCAAATTTGGAGTGTATGACAAGAAAACCTACGCTAAAAAGAAGTCTTGGATAGTGGGAGGGCAAGAGTGGTCCTTCAGATCTGCAATAAATCAAATCACAGTTACTTGTCCAATTAAATATGATTGGAGAGCACAATTTTAGCAAAAACACCAGCTCAAATAGAAGTTTCAGTTTGCCTTACAGAAGGTGAGCAGATATCTTTAAGTCCTCTTGGGTTCAAGGAAGGATGGTTTTGCTGTAAGGAGGTAGGCAAAAGTGTAAGCAGAGAAAAATTCAGGCATCATTGCAAAAGTCTAGGGTAGTTATTCTCAAAGTGTGGTCCCAGATCAGCAGAATCAGTATCATGTGAAATTTGTTAGAAATGAAAATATCAGGGTCGGGTGCAGTGGCTTATGCCTGTAATCCCAGCACTTTGGGAGGCCAGGAGTTCTAGAACAACTTGGGCAACATGGAGAAACCTCATCTCTACTGAAAAAAAAAAAAAAAAAATTAGCCAGGTGTGTTGGTGCACACTTGTGGTCTCAGCTAGGTGGAAGGATTGCTTAAGCTCAGGAGGATGAGGTAGGGTGCAGTAAGCTGTGTTCAGGCCACTGCACTCCAGCCTGAGTGACAGAGACAGACTCTGTCTAAAAAAAAAACAAAAAAACAAAAAAACAAAAAAAAAAACAAATAAATACCAGGTTCTATTCTAGACATACTAAATCTGAAACTTTGTGGGGTTAGGGTGTAGAATTTGCACATTACACCAGGTGTTTATGATCCCTGCTAAAGTTAGAGTCACTGGTTGATAATTGCCAGTTAGTATCAGCTTGAATGTGAATCAACTGTATCAATAAAAAATGTCCTTTAAATTGACTTAAAGCATGGGAAAGGTAATAAGTGAGAAATTCAAGTCAAGAGAGTTGATACTGAATTTGGGGATTTGAGGTTTCATGAATATGATTATTTAGTGGACAGAATCTGTGGTAAGTAAAGGTAGGATGCTTTTTTCTTCTGGAATCATTCTCCATCAGCAAATAAAGCCATAAAGGGGTGTTAGCAGTTAAGTCAGTTAGCTGTCCACCAAAATACATATTCCCCTTCTTCTGGCCCAAAACTACATAGCAGTTAGGCGTGGCATATGATTGAGCTCTCTCCTTTGACATGTTAGCAGAGGTGATGTGTACCACCTCCAAATCTGGACCATAAATGATTTGCACGTGCACTCCTCCATTCTCTTTCCCAGTTTAGGTTGACTGTGATGGCAACACTCAGAATGACCTACCTGGAAGCCGCACATTAAAGATGTCCAAGCAGCCAACAGCCTTGATTTCTCAATCGCTGTGTAGTGAAGAGCTTCACTAGAACTGAATTCTCAACCCGAACCTTGTATGAGAAAGAGATAAACATTTTTGTTATTTAAGTGACTGAATTTGAGAAATCTATTTTATTTTGAGACACAGCCTCCCTCTGTTGCCCAGGCTGGAATGCAGTGGTGCGATCACGGCTCACTGCAACCTCTGCCTCCCAGGTTCAAGCAATTCTCCTGCCTCAGCCTTCTGAGTAGCTGGGATTACAGGTGCCTGCCACAACGCCCAGCTAATTTTTGTATTTTTAGTAGAGACTGAGTTTCATTGTGTTGGCCAGGCTGGTCTTGAACTCCTGGCCTCAGGTGATCCGCACACCTCAGCCTCCCAAAGTGCTGGGATTACAGGCGTGAGCCACCATGCCTGGACAAGAAACCTATTTTTACCTGTCCTAAATAATATGTTGTTATTTAGATTCATGATACCCCATGAATCTACCACAACTATACCAAAATGTGATCATCTTCTCAAATTAAAAAAAGTATATTCTGATCATTTGGTACTTTTTAAATCATTCCCTAGAACATACATACACATATACACCCACAGCCATGCACGAAGAAAATAACAAGAAAAAGAAAAACAATGGGGATATTATTGCAGGCCTTATTTTAGATTTATGTACATTCATACTTACATTAACAAATCAAAAAGACACAAAGTTCAGGGTAACATATTACCTTTCTATAATAGTCATGACATAAATATATGCCTGCAAAGCAAAGTGTTATAGCCGTAGCTTCTACATTTATCTTTCCAGAAAACAGAAAGAAAACCATCTGTGATTATACTGTACCATGGATATAATATTTATTCATCTAATTTCAATGCCCCTTTGAGTTTAAACATCAAATTTAAGTTTGTTCAGCATAATTGTTTTTATATGTAGCTCTAACTCCTAAAAATAGGGCCTAACATATTCCTGCTGACTGGATACATTTATGTTGTATTTTCATTTCAGCTTGCTTAGTCTCCTTCTCATTCAGGTCTGAGAGTGACTTGCTGGTTGAATTCAATGAAGTTACTTAATATATCTGTGTTACCGCGTACTCAGCTATTAAAAAGGAGAAAATTTTGTGATGACTTTGATGTAAGCATTGGTAAAATAACTGATGACAGGAATTCTTGACTTTCTGAAAAAGTAGAGTTCTAGGCAGAGTGGATTCTGGACTTCCCAAAAGCAAGGCAACTTCTGACCAGGCTCCCCTTACAAGAAAAGCACCTGGCTTCACAAAGTTCTCTGTTCTGCAATAACTAACGGGGAATTCAGCAGGGGGAATTCTTCTGTTATCACAGGGTTCTCAGGTCAAACAAGCTTGGACTTAAATCCTGGCTCCACCACTTAGTAGTTCTGTGGCCCAAGAAGTTTCTTAACCTCTCTAAACCCCAATTTTCTTATTTACGTAAATGCCTCCCCCAACTGTGGTTTAATTTCTTAGAGCCTCCATATCATTTTCAAGACATTAAATTTTCTTCTAGCAGTAAGCGAGGCTCTGTACAATCTGACCTTAATCTCCATTTCCAACCTATCAATCTCTTGTCCATTCAACTTCTGGCTTCAGGCAAGGCAACTTCTTGCTTACTGAGCACGCGATGCTCCATCGAGCTTCTTTTACGTCTCTGTCAATCCTCCCTCGGCCAATCTGAAAAACTTCGTCTATTTTAGCAAAAAATGACATTATCATCTCCTCAGCAAGGCCCTGCCAAATGCCCCCAGGCAGTCAGTCCCTCCACTTCTGAGCTCTCATAACACTAGGCACACACCTTCTCTTTAAGACTTACTACCCTCAACTATAATTATTTATAATTACTTTGTTCGTTTGTTTACCTCTTTCTCCCTGAGTGTCAGCTCCTGGAAAGCAGTGACTTAACCTTACTACAAGATGTCCGTACTCCACATTAAAGGCTTTGCAGCAGCTGTTTCCTCCGCCTGGCCCATTCCTCCCCCAGAGATCTCATGGTTCACTTTGCTCAAACATCAGCTTCTTGCTGAGACCTCTCCTGAAATCTCTCTTTAAATTTGCAACCTAGACTTCCACCTTCCCTGACCTTCTTGCCAGTCCCTATAACATTTTCTATTTTCGATCTTGGCTAATACCTCTTATTTTTGGGTTTTTTTGGTTTTCTTTCTTTCTTTCTTTCTTTCTTTCTTTTCTTTTTTTTTTTTTTTTTTTTTTTGAGGCGGAGTCTCGCTCTGTCACCCAGGCTGGAGTGCAGTAGCACAATCTTGGCTCACTGCAACCTCCATCTCCAGGGTTTAAGTGATTCTCCTGCCTCAGGCTCCCATGTAGCTGGGACTACAGGCAAGCACCACCATGCCCGACTAATTTTTTAAAATATTTTTAGTAAAAACAGGGTTTCACCATGTTGTCCAGGCTGGCCTTTAACTCCTGACCTCAGGTGATCTTCACACCTCATCCTACCAAAGTGCTGGGATTACAGGCATGAGCCATCAAGCCTGGCAATCTTAGCTAATATCTTTTAAAACACGCTATGATTCACTTATTAGTCTGTTTATTGGTTATGGTTTGTTTCCTTATCTAGAACATAAGCTTCCTAAGAGCAGGATCTTTGGCTGTTATTTGTGGATAAACTGTAAGTTCCTAGATTGGTACTTAGGACACAATGGTGCTCACAAACCATTTGTTGGCTAAGTGAATGAGTGAATCTTTGTATCCCAAAGACCTAGAAGTTCAGTAACCATGGATTGATTAAATGATTAAGTAACTGTCTTGAGGTTGTTTTCATGCACAAGAAGGAAAGGTATTCAAATTAAGTCTACCAGAAGAAAAAATGGATTATAGTTTTCTTTTCCTTCTTTTTTCCTTGAGAGAAGCATGGGCTCTGAGCATGAACTCCAGTTAGACAGAACTGACTTCAAATCTCAGCCAAGACACTTCACTGCCACTTGTCTTCTCCTGATCCTTAGTCACCTTGATGTAAAATGGGCTCAGTAGTAATAACTACCACTTAGGGCTGTTGTTCACAATCAGAGATTACACTGTGTAAGCACTTAACCACAGGACATGGCATATTGACAGTGCTTTGTAAACAGTACCTGCTGATAAAATTACATGCTCACGAATGAGGTTCTCCTATTATTACCACACACGACTGACCAAGAGCTACCTTTCAGAATCAGAATTCTGAGACCAGAGTGGACACAGTCAGTCTCTCTCTCTCTCTCTCTCTCCCTCTGTTCCTTAAGGTAGAGAATTGTGTCATTAGAGCTGGCCCAGCTCCCAAACATGCTGGGTGGCAGAAGAGTAGGATGGGCACACGCATTTTTATCATATCTGCTTACCTGACTGCCCTTTCTTCTTCCATCTAACACATCATATCCCCAGAACAACAGCAACAAATCCTCAAGTATGGGTCTTCATTCTAGCAAACTAAATCTCAAATTAAAGTCCTCTAAATTATTTTACTTCAACAGAGACCTTTCTTTCTTTCTTTCTTTTCTTTCTTTCTTTCTTTCTTTCTTTCTTTCTTTCTTTCTTTCTTTCTTTTCTTCCTTCCTTCCTTCCTTCCACTCATTCATTCAGTCATCCGTTCAACAGAATGTACAAAGGCTAACCCCCATGTGAAGCACAGGGTATCTATCAGTGGATAAATTGGACAAGGCACCTGCCATTAGAGCTTACAACCTAATGGGGCCTACAGGCAATAAACACATATGCAAATATAGAACCAGAAACTGTGATAAGTGCTCTGAAGGATATAAGCGGGTGTACTGAGAGATGAAGAAGGTGAGGACAGAGCTAATTAACACAGGGTGGAGAAAGAGAGGTTCCCTCTAATACCAAGAAATGTAGCATATAATATAGTGCTAGATTTGCAGTTGACTATTTCATACCACTACTTTGCCTCTCAAACAAACTACAAGCACTTTGATAGCAAAGAAGAGCCTTAAACTACATCTGCAAGTTCTGAACTACCTGGCCAAGGCTGAAGGTACCTTAAGTGCCTTACATAGTGTTTGCAGAGTTGGCTTTTACTGACCTTTAATATGTTCAGGAGGAAATGGAGAAAGGAGATTAGTAAAGTCCGTACTTAAGTTCTTAATTTCTTAGCTCAATTATTCTAAGCGAATTGTGTTTCTCACAATGAAAATAGAACCATCGATTCTTTTCTTTTTATAATTGTAGTTAGTTAAGAGTTTTGAATACATCAAATAGGGAGAAATGTGCTCCAAAAATATATAAAACATGCAAGCTTTGAGGAAATTGAGTTTAAATGAGAAACTGAGTTTATTGGTTGACATAATAAAACAATCTTCAATGACCATTATTACTTCACATAACAGACAGATGCATTTGTAGCTGATGTATTATGAAAAGGTACAAGATCTTGGTATGGCTTGATGATATTTTTAAGACAGGCATACATAAAAAGAGAAGAAAAGAAAAAGCCCAAGAAACGGCATAATATAACCACTGGCATATTTCCCCTTTTTTCCTCTCCTGAGAATGAAGACAAACACAGTTGGGATCCACTGGAAAGAAAAACTGCCTCACACTGTTCATTCATGAGTTTTCAGCTGTAATTAAGCATCTAATGCTCCAGATGGCTAAGTATTCAAAATTAGTACATTTCAGCTTCACTGAAACAGTTTATTTTGAAGTGTTCAAAATACTATCCAGTGGTGCTTACAACTGAACAAGAGATTCTTGCAAAATTCTGAAAGGTGTATTAGAATATATGCCTCCTGGAGAAATTCACAATTTGATATTTCCTTACCATTTCCTTCTTTCTTTCCTATTGACCCATATGGTGAAAAATTCTTAAAAATTAGATCTAGTGTACTTTTGTGTCCTGCACATAACTCTCAACCTACTTTAATGTGGTAGAATGAGTTCCTGGCCCCATTTCTTCATCCTTTTTTTGAATCTCTATGCTTTGCCAGGTAACAGTGCAGTCTTTCACACTCTAGCAGTGAAGTGTACTTCCTTGCCTCTTAACTTGGGATCTGGCCATTTGATTTGTTTTGGGCAATGGCCTGTGGGCAGAACTGAGAGCTGACTGTGCTCAACCTAGGCTTTCAAGAGCCTCATGTGTTATATTTTCACTTGCACTCTTATGCCTCTGCAATTGCAATTGGATAGGTGATGCCATTTATTCTGTGCTGTAGAATGAATATAGATGAAGCACAGCTGAGCACAACCTATATCAAAAAGTCAAATGCAACTGGACTCTAGGCTTGAATCAGAACTCCTCAGCCAAGTACAGCAGATTCCCGGTTGATTTGCAAACACATGATTGGGAAGAAATTATTGTCAGGTTCAATTACTGAGTTGTGGGGTCATTTGTTATGCAGCAATAGCTAACTGATATACTATGTCTCTGCCCCATTCTCTGAGGTTGTTGAGGAAATAAGCTGGAGGAGAAAGACACTGCTGGCCAAACAAAAAAAAAAATCAAAAATTATTATTTTTGGCATATTTGTCTTATACACCCAAAAGATTTTAAACTTCTTTGATCTAAAAAAATCTTACTATTTATCTTTGACACATCAATAATAGCCACTTAAAATTCTGTTGCGTTGGATTTATTAAAAACTGTTAGATACAAATAACAGCACAACTATTTTTTTAGATAAAAACCCATAGGCCAAAATTTTTCTCTTTGGCTCAAAATTTTAGAGAGGGATACTTTTAAATGTGTCTGCTGAAGAAAAATTTGGTTATATGTCTAAGCATTCTGATTATTTTTTCAAATGTTAACTCACTACACAAATGTCAGATATTCTACAGGAGGTTTTTTTTTATATAAATTACTTCACTAAGTATTTACAACAATATTTTGAGGTAGGTTGTTTTACTCTCAAGTTAATGAGAGGATCCAGAACGTTTAAATATCACGCTCAAGATAACACAGCTAGTTAGCATTAAAATCTATACCAAGACCATCTGATTTTATTTTTTTCCCAAAATACAACTGTATCTCCCAGAAAACAAAATCCTTAACAAAATGATTTGAAAATGTACATACATATGTTTGCATGCTATATCCACTGAGCATTTTTATTATCGCATCTTAGCATTAATATTGAAATCAACAGATACCTCTTTATGTTTTTTTGGAGGGAGGTAAGATGCTTTGAGATGAATGCTGCCTTTCAAGTGGTCAGAATAACTTTTGATGTGTTGAGTGACTGCTACTGCTTACTTTATTTGTCATCTATACAACGTGCACCTTTCTTACCGAAAAGTAAGCTTGATAGGGCAGGGCTATGTCCATCATATGCACTGTAGGTATTGTCCAGCACAGTCCTGGCACAGATAAAAATTCAGCAAGTACTTGTTGAACAAAAACAAAATGAGGGTGTTTTTGAAGAGTTCACCTAAACCTCTTCTTTTCTGCCTACACCAAGTTTCTAACACCCACAGACATGTAAACCCTATTGATATATAAAATATAAGAGGCCAGGAGTGGTGCCTCATGCCTATAATCCCAAAACTTTAGGAGCCCAAGGCGGGAGGATTGCTTGAGCTCAGGATTTCAAGACCAGCCTGGACAACAGAGTGGGACCCCATCTCTAAAAAAAGTGGGTTTTCTTGTTTGTTTTTGTTTTTTTAACTAGTCAGGCATGGTGGCACACACCTTTAGTCCCAGCTACTTGGGAGGCTGAGGTAAGAGGATCACTTGAGCCTGGAAGGTCGAGGCTGCAGTGAGCTGTGATTGTGCCACCACACTTCACTGAAGCCTGGGCAATAGAACAAGACTCTATTTCAAAAAAAAAAAAAAAAAATTGTTTTACTTTACAATTAATTGTATCCAGTTTACTTATTCTAATATGATCATTTTTCAACCTCTCAGCCTAAATTAAGAAAATGTAGGGGTCTGGTTCTCAAACTTATCAACTTTCATGGTGGCCTGGAAAACCAATAAAGTTGCCTGGAGTCCACAAGAGCAGAAATCACTATAGAGTCAGAATTAACAAAGGGTCATGTGCCATGGAAGCAAATTACAACAACAAAAAATATAAAAAGAGGAGGAGACAGTGAGAAATCTGAACAGGTGAGTGAGATTAGGAGGTCACCTGCCTATTTGGTTTAAGAATAAAAACAGGGAGTTGGTGGTGGAGTGGGGGGAAATAAAACTTGAATTAGAATATTACAACAGGAAAGAGCATTAATTGCTATTAGGAATGCAGGGCAAAGGTAGGAGCTCTGGGCAGGAAAGAATCTTTGGTTGAGAAGTTAGGGCATGACGGAGGGGTAAAGGGCAAAGAAGGGCTGGGTTGGAAGTTCAACGTTTCCCCACTGGAGATGGAGAAAAGGCCTATGGGCTGCAAGTTCTTATGGGAAGAGAATTCCTGGGCAGACGTGGGTGATCTTGGTGGCAGTTGTTCACTGGAGTATAAAAGGAAAATGTGGACAAGAAATCAGGTTATGATTATCTTGTCAGTTTCAACCACTCATTGATTCTGCTTTGCATTTCCCCCTAGGAACTCATTCACTCTGTGGCTATGCCTTGTCATTTTTCTCTCTCTGTCTGCAATCTGTCACTATCTTTGCCTTATTCTGTCGAGATCTCTCTCTCTCTTTCTCTGTCTACCACTTTCTTTCCTTTTTTCTGTTTTTGAGACGGAGTTTCACTCTTGTTGCCCAGGCTGGAGTGCAATGGCGCGATCTCGGCTCACGGCAACCTCTGCCTCCCAGGTTCGAGCGATTCTCCTGCCTCAGCCTCCCTAGTAGCTGGGATTACAGACATGTGCCGCCACGCCTGATTAATTTTGTATTTTTAGTGGAGACGGGGTTTCTCCATGTTGGTCATGCTGGTCTCAAACTCCCGACCTCAGGTGATCCACCCGCCTCGGCCTCCTAAAGTGCTGGAATTACAGCCATGAGCCACTGCGCCCGGCCTACCACTTTCTTTCTTTCTCCTTCCATCTGAACGCTGTGTTAGAGCCTTTATAGAGCTCATACTTGATTTTTTGCATAAACTGCATGTGTGTGGTGGTCACTACAAACACTAGTCAAGAAGACCACCATGGATTACGGGTGAAGGCTGAAGGACAGCAGTCCCTCCTGTATTCTTAGTCATGAATCTGCCTGATACTAAGATGGGGAACCCAGCAAGGATTTGACAGGGTAGACAACAAGGTGACTTTGTGTGTGTGTGAAGGAGGCGAAGAGAGAAGAAATATTGGATTGTAGATTAGGAAGAGCACTGCATCAGAGATTAGCTAGCCCAACACCCTTACTGATTATAGAAGTTTAAAAGGAGAGTAATTCTAAATGTAAAAGATCACTTGGAAATGTTGTTTTAAACATAATAGCTTGAGACCCTTAGAGTAAATCAATGAATTAAACACATCTTACATTACTCACATGGTAGCAGTAAACAATTTTAATTATATTAGGTCAGATTTGATGTGGTTTTCTAATAAAGCAGATTCTTGCTTAGAGCGACTACGCATTAAATCAATTAAATATGTGAAAATGCTGTGCATTTGGGAAACATTAATTTGAAATTTGTCACGTTGCTTTCCTATGTTTTGACTTTGACTATTCATTTACATTTACAACACTGCTTCAAGGATGGGAGAGTTATTACAGTGTTCAGATAATTTGATTTGCAACTATGTCTTAAAAGTAAGATAATCCCATCTGTGTCATTAATAGGCTATTGATTTAAATTTAAACATCTTGGGCTCAAGTCGTCAATCTTATAAAAAAGACGTGGGGGAGTTGGACCCTAATCTCTTTGGAAATTAGGACTAGTCTATCTGCAATACAATCCCTTGTTTGGCCCTGCTTTGTAAAGTGCCTAGGTATATTGTTTTGACTGTAAACTGTTTCAAATTGTCTCTGGGACTAAGAAGGGCATAAATCCATAAATAGAGTCAAAGTGAGTCATGAATTAGTCAATAGAGAAATTGTCAAAGGAGTGCGCTTATCTGTATGGCCAGAACAGTTCTGCTGGTTAGGATTTGGGACAAAATACAAAAACACCACCCACTTCACAGGCTGAAAAAAGAATCAGGATAAGTTATAACAGCTGATAGAAAGGAAAGCCAATTATGCTTTTCCAATTTTGACTCACAAAATCTAGAGGTTGGAATGGACTTTCTGGGTCATTCAGACTTATTCTCCCATCTGATGCTGGAATGTCCTAGATTCTGTACTCAATCTCTGGTTGCCCAGAGACAGAGACCCTGAGTTAACCAAGGCAGTGTATCTCATCTTTGGCTCTGATCTTAACAAGGTCCTCTGAATGATGGGTCAAAATCTTTCTCCCATTAGGCCAGGAGGGGTGGCACATGCTTGTAGTCCTAGCTACTCAGGAGGCTGAGGCAGGAGAATTGTTTGAGCCAAGGAGATTGAGGCTGCGGTGAACTATGATCATGTCACCGCACTTCAGCCTGGGTAAGAGAGCAAGACCTCATCTCTTAAAAAAAAAAAAAAAAAAAAGAAAAAAATCCCCTTCATAGTCATTCATTTGTAAGGCAAGTGCAATCTCTCTTTTACAACCCAGAAATTCATGTCTTCTATCCTACTCACCCTTCCTTAGGATGACTTCTGGCATAAAAGTCAGGAAAATTTACTTCCCCTGAGCTGAATTAGCTACTACCTACCATCATTTTATGCTGATACATATTTCTTTCAAACTTTTAAGTTTTTCTGTTACTTTTCCCAGGTAACCAAACTACACAAAGCATATTGAGGCAGAATACACCTATAAATTGTCTCTGTTCATTTTTTCAGACCCTAATTAAAAGATTAGGACTTTCTTTTGTAGACTTTGACCTTGGAATAAAAATCAGACCACCAGCCGGGCACGGTGGCTCATGCCTGTAATCCCAGCACTTTGGGAGGCTGAGGCAGGTGGATCACCTGAGGTCAGGAGTTCGAGACCAGCCTGGCCAAAATGGTGAAAACCTGTCTCTACTAAAAATACAAAAATTAGCTGGGCGTGGTGGCAGACACCTGTAATCCCGGCTACTCAGGAGGCTGAGACAGGAGAATCGCTTGAACTTGGGAGGCAGAGGTTGCAGTGAGCCAAGATAGCGCCACTGCACTCCAGCCTGGGCGACAAAAGCGAAACTCTGTCTAAAATAAATAAATAAATAAATAAATAAATAAATAAACAAATAAAGTGAGGTTAATAAGAAAAGGAAGATTACCCTTTAAAAGAAAAAAAAAAACACCACCTAGACTGGCATTTTTAGCTGCTCTGTTTAGTATGAGAGTCAGCCACACAAGGCTATTGAACATGTACAATATGGTCTCGATGATGAAAGAACTAAAGTTTAAATGTTATTTAACTTTAATTAATTGAAATTTAAATTAAACTATGTTTCCACTAAACTCAACTTTATTGTTTTCGTAGAAGTACTCATTACTTTAACCATTGTACTGTATAAGAAGTAATTGTTATATTATAGAGTGCAAAATATGTGGTACATGCATCATTTTTACATGGAAAGGTATTACCAGCCTAACAGATGACAATGTATTGATTCAAGTTGAATCCTTTTTTCTGTTCATAGGTGTAACACTATAGTATTTTTATTTCATTATTTTAGAGAGACAGCAGGAGTTATAGTAATATCTGTGGAAATCATACTTAATAAACTGAAATACTAGTTATTTTAATCATAATACCATTAAATCATAATTTCAGTACAAAAAAATAAGTATGGACACATTTTTAGATTAAAAATAAAGGCATATTACTTACACAGAATTGAATGGAAATCTTAGAAGCTAGCATTATGACCAAAATAGTAATACAAAATAAAAGACCAGAATATGTCAGGATTTTCTTCAGAAAGGATGACAATTACAATTTGCTGAAGCAGAGAAAAGTGAAAAAGCTGCCTCTTTGTTTGTAAAAAAAAAATTATGAGAAATTAAGTGGGCAAAATTAAGACATTTCAGCAAATACATTGTGATAAGAGGTTTCCTCTGAACAGACAAAAAATATTTGGTGAAATTAGTTTCTTGAAATCAAAATTAAATTATTAATACAATCTTAAAAGTCTTTTTTAGGGGCTCTGAGTTTATAACTCTGGCCAGCTAGACATCCTTATACAAAAAGACAAAAAAAGTTTTAGATGGAGACATGGTACAATAAGCTACTTCAGTTACTAAGATTCTATTCGAAGGTTATAAAGAACAGATTTTAAAAGATTTTTTACAGAAAGTGAAAGATCTTCAGTTAAGCCACCAAATGATTACACATAAATCCAATATTTCTCTAAATATAAAAGACTAATTGACTCAAAATTTTTAAAATTATAATTATTTTTCTTTAGCTTTAGATGAGTTGTATGATATGTCACTATCTGATTAATACTTTATATTTTATCTCAAAGAACTTCCAAAATTACCAAAAACAGTTGTCGGCCGGGCGCGGTGGCTCACGCCTGTAATCCCAGCACTTTGGGAGGCCAAGGCGTATGGATCACGAGGTCAGGAGTTCAAGACCAGCTTGGCCAAGATGGTGAAACCCCGTCTCTACTAAAAATACAAAAAATTACCTGCGTGTGGTGGCACGCACCTGTAATCCCAGCTACTGGGTAGGCTGAGGCAGAGAATTGCTTAAACCTGGAGGGGTGGAGCTTGCAGTGAGCCGAGATCGCGCCACTGCACTCCAGCCTTGCAACAGAGCAAGACAGTCGCAAAAAAAAAAAAAAAAAAAAAAAAAAAGTTGTCAATCTCCAGCCTAAAAAATTACACTCATGGCATAGAAATTTTTGAATCTTTTAAAACTATTAAAGAATTTGGCTAGATATAAAAAAAATTCATTCCTATTATGACAAACAGTACTCTACCTATATTAGGTTGAAAAATCTGGATTTATTGGAATTTTAAAACAAAGAGACTAATATTTCCCTTATTGCTTCATACCTATATGTTACATTTTGAATATATCTGTGATTAGTTTTCTGAGCCAGATTCTATGAAAAGTCTCATAGGTAGAGTTTTTAAAATCATTCATTACATACAAAATGCTATGAAAATTCATTCATTTGTAAAACTGTTTAAAAGAAATAAAAGATAATTTTGTGATCTCGTATTCTTTGCAAATGCTTGTTGGTTGAGTTGTAAAAGAGTCTTAGGACAATTTACTACATTGTTAACTCTAATTCAAGATTTTCTTGAAACAAAAGGAATGCTTGCCAAATATGTAATCATCAAACAAAAAAATGTCAGTATGACTCATGCAGCAAAAAAATGACAGTGTGATTTATGTTTTCTCACTGATATAACACTGCATATAAATGAGTTATATTTGAAATTCCAAGGAAAGTAAAACCTTATTTATGACCTAGTAATATAGTATGGAAATTAATGATGAAATAGAAATTTTTCATAATACAATTGAATCATAATGATTTTGTAATTTTAAAACATAAATCAATATATCAAAAAGTTTAATTGTAATCAACAGCATTATGTAAATTGCTTCAAAAACTAAAAGAAAAAGTTAAATAAGTCTTTGTTGATTGTGGTAAATCTAAAGATACTTTAATTTTTTAAGAGACAAGGTCTTACTCTGTCACCCAGGCTGGAGTGCTGTGGCAAAATCACAGCTCACTGCAACCTTGAGTGTCTGGCCTCAAGTAATCCTCCTGCCTCAGCCTCTGGAGTAGCTGTGACTACACACACCCAGCTATCTTATCTTATCTTATCTTATCTTATCTTATTTTTGGTTCCGGGGGGTGAAAACAGGGTCTTTCTATGTTGCCCAGGCTGGTCCTAAGCTCCTAGGTTTAAGCAATCTTCCCACCTCGGCCTTCAAGTGCTGAGATTACAGTTGTTAGCAACTGTGCCCAGCCTAAAGATGCTTTTCAATTTATGCAATACCACTTTGAATTTGATGGCAATAGTACCAATCTGACACAGAGTTAGTGAATTTACTTAATTTGTACATATTGTAAAATTATGGGGATAGCAGGTCCCAAGTAGGTCAAATAAATTCTAAAAAAGATGAACTAATTTTGTAAAATAGATGCAACTATTAAAAGAATGTGACTTTTTAGTACTTATTTCATTTTTTGGAAAACTTTTAGGTATAGCTGTAGTTTTTTGCGTATGTGAATCTACATTTTGAACTATAAATTTTATGAAATCTAAATATAGAACACGTATTTCCAATGAAAGTTTAGCATCCAAATTAAGATATGTTATAAGCGTAAACCACATGCCAGATTTTGAAGACTTATTTATAACGTATTCTTCATTTTGTTTTTATGCAAAGCCTTCAAACGTTTTATATTGATTATGAATGGAAAGGGTAATATTTTGGATATATTGGGTTAAATAAAAACATGTTTGCATTAGTTTCACTAAATAGTCATGAATCTATGCTGATAAAAATAAATAATACTTTTTTTTTTTTTTTTTTTGAGATGGACTCTCGCTCTGTCACCCAGGCTGGAGCGCAGTGGCACAATTTTGGTTCACTGCAACCTCCACCTCCCGGGTTCAAGCGATTCTCCTGCCTCAGCCTCCAAAGTAGCTGGGATTACAGGCGCCCACCACCATGCCCAACTAATTTTTGTATTTTTAGTAGAGATGGGGTTTCACCATGTTGGCCAAGATGGTCTTGATCTTCTGACCTTGTGATCTGCCCGCCTTGGCCTCCCAAAGTGCTGGGATTACAGGGGTTAGCCACCGCTCCCGGCAATAAATAATACTTTTCAATAAATACATGAGGAAGAATAAATAAATTTCCCATGAAGAATTTCAAATGACCTATGGAGATTCTTCCCCCTCAAGGAAGTAGAGCTTAACTCTCACCCTTAACTTTTCTTTCCAAAGAGTACAGTATGGAAAGAAATGGGAGTATAACTCTATGGTAGAGAAACCTGTCAAACACTTAGCTCAGCCAGATTATCAAGGTCATCATTTAAATATCATCTAAATCAAATATATGTGAGACTTAGGGTACAGTTCATCCTGGGGCAAATTGCCCTCTAGCTGTGAACGTGTAGTGTCAAATACATTATTTGCTTCCAAAATACAAGGGTAGGACAGATATAGGCTAGACATTCCCATTCTAAATGGGAGAAATAGTAAAGAAGAAAGGGATAACAGGTCCCAAGTAAGTCTGGAACCCAACAGGGCAAACAACATTAAATCTTAAGTCTCAAAAATAACCAATAACCTTTGACTCAATGTTCCACCCTCTAGACACATTGGAGTAAGAGTTAGGCCCCCAGAGCTCCAGGTAGCCCTGCCCTGTGGCTTTGCTGGGCACAGCCCACACCACAGCTCTTACTAGTTATAGCCAAGTGCCTTAAGCTCTCCCAGGCTGGAATCACACCTGGTGACTCTACTAGTCAGAGGTTTCAGAGGCAGCCTTGCCCCCATGGCTCCACTAGTCATTGCCCTGCTGGGGGTTCTTTGTTGTGGCCTAGCCCCACAGTGGCCCTCTGTCTGGGTCATATGCCCAAGGGTCCAGGAGGCTCCATCCTTCTAAATCTAAGTGGAGGTAACCACACTCCACAGCTCATGGACTCTGTATGGCCGTGGAGATGGCACCACCGAGACACTGCCAGGGTTTACCAGTTGTGCCCTTTTGCAGAGTGGTTATTGTACCTGCACTGCACTTGGGCCCACTGGATCTAAAATCTGGGGTGGCTAAGGAGCACTGAGCTAGAATGCAGGGAGCAGAGCCTTGAAGGGGTGCCAGGCAGCCAGTAAGAAGGTCCTGTAGAAGCCCATGATCCCTCATTTAAAATCATTCTGCCCCCGAGGCTTTTGCACTCTGGGCCTCCAATGAGAGGGGCATCAGTGATGGTCTCCAAACTTCCTTTGTTGTTATTCTTCCATTGTCTGAATGACTACCACTTGACAACTCCATACTAATCTCCTCTTTATCAAACAGCAGTTTGGCCATAACTTTGGTGGTCTCTCTCAAATATACTTTCTAATTCCTTTAAATATGGACAAAGTGATAATTTTCCAAATCTTTGCATTCTGCTTCTCTTTTGATTAAAAATCCCATCTTTAAATCATTTCACTCTTCTTACATTTTACTATCTGCCTCCAAGAGAACAAGAGAAGCCAAGCTGAAGCTGCACCCTCAACATCAACACTTTGCTAAGAAATGTCCCCAGCTTCATTTCCTATGTTATCATTCACAAGTTCCATCTTTTTCCATCTTTTCCACAAATACTAGGGCATGAACACAATTCAGACAAGTTCTTTGCCCCTTTTTCAGTAAGGATGGCCTTTTCTCCAGTGTCTAATCAAATATTCCCCATTTCCACCTGAGATGTCATCAAAATGGACTTTACTGTCCATATTCCTATCAACATTGTTTATGATTTTGTGATTTCTTAGATATGCACCTCAAAACTCTCCCAGCCTCTCTCTATTACCCAGTTCCACAGCCATTTCCACATTTCAGGTATTTGTTACAGCACCATTCCATTTCTGGTACCAATTTCTATCTTAGTTCATTTGGGCTGTTATAACAAAATATCATAAACTGGGTAGCTTATTGACAACAGAAATGTATTGCTCATACTCCTGGAGACTGAGAAGTCCCAGATCAAGATATCAACAGATTCTGTGTCTGGTGAGGGCCTATTTCCTTATTAATGGTGGTACCTTTTCACTGTGTTCACGTGGCAGAAGAGACTAGCTAGTTCTCTGTAGTTTCCTGGTTAAGGGCACTAATCTCATTTGTAAGGGCTCTGCCCCATGATTAAATTACTTCCCAAAGGCTTTACCTGCTGATATGGCTTGGCTCTGTGTCCCCACCCAAATCTCATCTTGAATTGGACTCCCATAATTCCCACGTGTTGTGGGAGGGACCCAGTGGTACATAATTTGTATCATGGGGGCAGTTTCCCCCATACTTTCTTTGTGGTAGTGAATAAGTCTCACAAGATTTGATGGTTTTGTCAAGGGTTTCTGCTTTTACATCTTCCTCATTTTCTCTTGCCACCACCACATAAGAAGTGCCTTTTGCCTCCAGCCATGATTCTGAGTCCTCCCCAGCCATGTGGAACTGCAAGTTCAATTAAACCTCTTTTTCTTCCCAGTCTTGGGTATGTCTTTAACAGCAGCATGAAAACAGACTAATACACCTGCTAATACCATCACCTTGGGGTACAGGATTTTAACAGATAAATTTATCATGGGGCAGGGGCAGGTAGGGGTGAATAATGGCACAAACATTCAGACCATAGCCAGGACATTCTACAAAATACCTGACCAGTACCCTTAAACTGTCAAGGTCATCAAAACAAGAAAAGTCTGAGAAACTGTCAAAGTCTAAAGAAGCTAAAGAGACATGATGGTTATCTCAGATGGGATCCTGGAACAGAAAAAGGACATTAGGTAAAAACAAAGATAATATGAATAAAATATGGATGTTAGTTATTAATAATGTATCAGGGATGGGCACAGTGACTCATGCCTGTAATCCCAGCACTTTGCGGGGCTGAGGCCAGCAGATTGCTTGAGCTCAGGAGTTTGAGACCAACCTGGGCAACATGGGAAAATCCTGCCTCTACAGAAAAAAAAAAATTAGCCGGGCATAATGGCATGCACCTGTGGTCCTCACTACTAAGGAGGCTGAGGTGAGAGGATCCCTTGAGCCCAGGAAGTCAAGGTTGCAGCAAACAGTGATTGCACCACTACACTCCAGCCTGGGCAACACAGCAAGATCCTGTCTCAAAAAAAAAAAAAAATATCAGTATTGTTTTATTAATTGTAACAAACACACTAAATAAATGTAAGATGCCAACACTAGGGGAAATAGGATGTGGAGTAAATGGGAACTCTCTGCATCATTTTTGCAACTTTTCTGTACATCTTAAACTATTTTAAATGTTTCTACAAAAGTTAACAATAATATATTATATAGTTCCAAATAGCTAGGAGGAGGATAACAAATGTTTCCAACACAAAAAAATGGTCGACGTCTGAGGTGAAGGATATGCTAATTATCTTCATCTGATCAATATTCATTATAAGCATCAAAACATCACTATGTACCCCATTATATGTATATTTATTATATGTTGACTAAAATTCAAATTTAATTTAATTTAAAAAATTAATTTTACCTGCTTCTTTTTATTTTTTTAAATATGGTACATTTTGTAATGTGGCTAAATTTTAAAATTAAACGTATAACTTGCATTATTATTTTATTGTTCAGCACTGCTTTAGCAAATGGAGTTGCTATGGTGCAAACAGCAGTGAACCTGCTATCAGGAAACCTCAGTTTGAGGCTTGCCTTTACCATTTACCACACATATCACACACCCTCCTAGCCCTAGGTGTCAGGCCTCTGAGCCCAAGCCAAGCCATCGCATCACCGGTGACTTGCACGAATATGCCCAGATGGCCTGAAGTAACTGAAGAATCACAAAAGAAGTGAAAATGCCCTGCCCCGCCTTAACTGATGACATTCCACTACAAAAGAAGTGAAATGGCCTGTTCCTGCCTTAACTGATGACATTCCACCACAAAAGAACTGAAAATGGCCGGTCCTTGCCTTAACTGATGACATTCCACCACAAAAGAACTGAAAATGGCCGGTCCTTGCCTTAACTGATGACATTCCACCACCAAAGAAATGAAAATGGCCTGTTCCTGCCTTAACTGATGACATTCCACCACAAAAGAAGTGAAAATGGCCGGTCCTTGCCTTAAGTGATGACATAACCTTGTGAAAGTCCTTTTCCTGGCTCATCCTGGCTCAAAAGCACCCCCACTGAGCACCTTGCGACCCCCCAACTCCTGCCCACCAGAGAACAACCCCCCTTTGACTGTAATTTTCCTTTACCTACCCAAATCTTATAAAATGGCCCCACCTCTATCTCCCTTCGCTGAATCTCTTTTCGGACTCAGTCCACCTGCACCCAGGTGATTAAAAGCTTTATTGCTCACACAAAGCCTGTTTGGTGGTCTCTTCACACTGATGCGCATGAAACTAGGTCCCCTCATATACAAAATGAGAATAAATAAGTCATTGCAAAGATGATATAAGACGGTTTATTTGAGGCAGGGAATGGTGGCTCACGCCTGTAATCCCAGTATTTTGGGAGGGTGAGACGGGTGGATCACAAGGTCAGGAGACCAGAAACATCCTGGCCAACATGGTGAAACCCCATTTCTACTAAAAATACAAAAATTAGCTGGGTGTGGTGGCGCATGCCTGTAATCCCATCTGCTCTGGAGGCCGAGGCAGGAGAATTGCTTGAACCAGGGAGTTGGAGGTTGCAGTGAGCCGAGATGGTGCCACTGCACTCCATCCAGCCTGGCGACTCAAAAAAAAAAAAAATTTTTTTTAAAGATGGTTTATTTAAAGGAAACTAGCACAATTCCTGGCCTATAATAAACAAACTCTTACTGACCGCTATAATGTACTGTATTCTTGCTCTTGCAAAAGAAGGCAAATAATCACAATGCAATACCAGAAGCCCTGGGGCACCAGAGAAAAAGGAATGACTATATAGTCAGAGAGAACATCTGAACTGGATGGCTAAGGATTGAGAAGAGAGTCCTACACAGGTTCAGAAAAACTGTGTATAGCCATGTTGATACCTCCAGTGTAGGAGTTAAACAACAATATAGACTTGTTTTCCCCTCATAGTTAGGGCTCAGTTTCTATCCATTTGGTAACTGCTTTCTCCACTGCCTACCTATCTTATTTTCTGCATGTATGCCCCAACTTAACACTTCATATGGAAAACTAGCACACTACAATTTCTACATTTTGTCATTTAACTTCTGTATCATATGCATAAAATTATTTTTGCCTTGAACTGAAATGAGTGTAATTTTAACTCATAGGGAAAAAAAGGGCTTGCTTATCTACACTACATAATCTATTTACACAATACTTATGCTCATCCAAATTTAGCCATACTGCTAAGGAATATGGCCCAAGGTTTTCTTCCCAGTGGGAGATGGACAATTAATTTTATTTCCAGCAAATGCTTTAGTGACTGTACTCTCTTCTCCTATAGTTGGCTTTCTCGCCATCCATCCATCCTATTCTACCCATTCATTCATTCATTCCATGAATGTTAAGTGTCTACCACGTGTCAGACACTGAAGATACATCCTTCTGCATGAATATGTTGTCATGCCATTTTCCTATGTGTTTGTCATAGTTTCCAGATAAAGTACAAATCACTTAAAGATCCAAATTATGGCTTCTCTCTCTCTCTCTCTTGCAGTCCTTTTACCTGCCAGCCCTCCTTCACACTCCAATCATTCTCCGCACACGCACACACACTACCATCACGATTACAGGGGCCAAGGGGAAGCCTCCCCTTTGCCCTCTACAGGTTTGTTGAAAAAAAAACTGACAAAAGACAGATTAACTGGAGAAAATACATACAAAGTTACTAATGTGCACATAGGAGAGAATCACAGAGTGATCACAACCCCCCAGTGGGGTACAGAAGCTTATGTACCACCTTGAGGCTACAGAAAGAATGGGAGCACAGAACATGGCCAAAAACAGAGTATTGTGGCAAATCAGATTCCAGTGGCCACACAGGTTATGGGCTGGGGAGAAGAGCTGGCTAGCAAAGGAGGTCTTGTTATACAGATGAAATCTCACCGGGAGCAGCCCTCAGAGAGAATAGAGAGTGAATGTTTCTTTCAGATATTTAAACGTGTCACACTTTCTCTCCTAAATCTTTCTTAGATCTGGAAAAGGGAAGGTCTCAGAGAAACTTGGCTGCATTAATGCAGATTTTCTGTACAGATGCAAATCTCTCCCACAAAAGACAGCTTTGCAGGCCTTCTGAACAACCATCTCAAAATAAGTCAGACAGGTATATTTTGGAGTAAAATATTTTTATTTCCTTCACTACCAATATCCATGCCTAGTATACTTTCCTACCCAGAAGAGGGAGAATGATGTGTTTTAGACTCAGCTGGAGATAAAGAAGAAAGGGAGGGAAGTATGAGATCACCTCATTTTCTCCTAAACATAACGTATCAATCTTTTTACCTTCACATTTCTCCTAATTCCAGATTACAAGTTTTGTTGTACTTTTCTTCCCACGAAATCCAGTTTTCAGTAATTGTGACTAAACTTGGGCTTGTGTCTTGGCAAGCTGTCTTCTTTTATTTGATAGATCACAAAAAGTTTCTCCTAAATATCCACCAAACCAAGTTTACCAGTCTTGAGAAAGAGAGACACATGCCACATTTCTCATAGGAAATGAGGTTATTGTGGGGTTTCAAGATTTCTCTATCCAACACTTGCCATGGTACAAAACCTTGCCATGGTTTTATACAAGTGAGGGCCAGGGGTAAGTTCAAGGTGCTGATGAACAAACTTGAACCAGCACTTTATTTGACTTTGACACAAACCAGATCTCAGGCACTGAAAGCAATTTAACTTAATTACTCTCCCAGTATGGAGCAAAATGGGGAAACTGAGTGCTATAATCAGTGCCAGTCTTCTTGACTGATCTGATTGTTAAAGCTGCAAAGGAAATCAGTTGCAGTGGTGGGGAGGGGGTGTTGCTTGGTTTCCTTCCTACTACTTAGTTATTATTCTGAGGAATGCATTTAATTACAGAGAGAACTCAGTTATTTGCTTTCTAGTAGCGGGCTCTTTTTTGGTTATTTCTACCGGCGCCATTCCTTTGCTGAAAAACAAAGGCATGTTTACAACTAGACCACATCTTTTGGCTTCCATTCCAGAGCTTTCTCCCACACCAAAGGAAAGCAAGGTAGTGTAATGCAAATAGCACCACAGTAGGCTACCTTTGCCAACCAGGGACCCATTTTCAACTGCATGCAAACTAGAGCTCTCCAAAGACCTGTGAACTGTAAATAACTTGGGTTGTGAAAGGGGTCAGCTTGGTTTAATTTAGAGCTTCACAGAGCCTTTCTGTAGAAATTCAAACGCCGGTGAACAAATCCCTCTGGGGCCTTTAAAAAAATTCCAGGGCCAGCACCTCTATTTACTCTTTAGACTCCTGCCTGTCTGGCGGAGGTCTGCTATTAAAAGCTAATCAGTTCTTCTATGGTTGCTGCTGGGCTCCCATAGGCAAGCCTGCCTCCTCACACAACCCCTGAATTGAGCTGCCTGAGTTCATAGCCGACTGGGGAACCCGGTAGAGGAAGCATTTACAGAAAAAGCATTGCTGAGGTTAATGCAGAGGCCAGGAAATGGCTGGGGGACCGGCAGCTAGTGGCCAGATCTTATCAGCCACCCAGCATAGCCCTCTTATTTTACAGTGGAGAACTCATTGGAGTCCTGCCCCACTAACACAGCTGAAGTCACCCAAGGAATTTCTTTTCCAAAACAATGTATCCTCAATTTCACAGTGGTCAGAAAAGTCAAAAAATAGTACGGAGCCTCTTTGCTCTCTGTTACCCTATTGCTGTCTGTCCCTTCTTCAGAAGTCATTTATAAGGAGACCCAGAATCCCAAAAGATCACAAGAAAAGTGTTCCAAATGAATAGATGTCAGGACCAGAAAGGTTCTAAGGACATCTTGTATCCTCCTAAATTCTCTGTAGACATATTGGCTTCCTTCAAGCCGCAAAAGGGATTTACGAAAGTTTTTAACTCTCACTTCAGCCATGCCCAGAAAATGGCTTAAATTATTGCAAAAAGATTTGAGTTAGCTTTTAGGAGGAGCCTTCTTAATGCAAATAATGTTAGGCATGAAATACTAAATAAGATTTTTCAACATGTTTTGCTCTAAGGGTATTTAAAATAGAGCAGATTTTTAATTTGTTTCCTGAAGTTATAAGAACAGTTCTGCTTTGAATCAGATGATTTCCCAAAAGTGGAAAACTTCACAAGATTTATTGGTAAAGACAGCTGCCTATTCTGGCAAGGAGAATGAAAAATATCCTGGTATATACCATAAAACAAGTTAATACTCCATTATGATCCTAACCTAGAACTGCTCCCCTAAGAAAGAAAGTTAAACTTTTTGAAGCAGATGGTTTAATGCATGATCCTCCCTTATCAATTTATACTGCAAGGAGATACCATGACAGATCAATGCTGATTTACCAGATGAGGGCCATGGTTCCTTTATAGTTCGAAAGCAGCCTCATCTTCTCTTTGATCAGCTGAGTCTCTGCACTGCTGACTTCAATCATGGACAACTGGGCCTTTGTGGGGGATGCTGTAGGCCCTCAAAGGTTTGTCTTCCTCAAATATTTGCTCTCCCCACCCCTTACACACTTAAGCATCAGATTTTTTGGTTTGTTTGTTTGTTTCTAAGTTGAAACAAACTTTGAAATCTTTGAGCCAGTCTTTGGTTAAGATAGGCATCTATGGTTATGCAAATATATTACCCAGGAAGGAAAATGTTTAATCTGTTAGTATCTATCAACCTGTTGGTATCCATATGCCCTTTGCAAGGTCAGTGAATACCTACACTAAAGAGTTTCCTAAGACCACCTGGCAGAAATCAAAGCCCTGAGAGCCCTGAACTGGGAAGGGTGTGTGTGTGTGTGTGTGTGTGTGCGCGCGCGTGTGTGTGTATGCGTGTGTGTGTGCATGCACGTGTGTGTGTATGTCAGAGAGAGAGATAAAACAGAAAGAGAGAGAAAGGAAAGAGAGAAGGGAGAAAGAAGAAAGGAAGGAAAAAAGGTAGGAAGGAAAGGAGGAAGGGAGAAAGAAGAGAAGAAAGAGAAACAACAAGAATACTATGACTGGGCTGGGCGCCATGGCTCACACTTGTAATCCCAGCGCTTTGGGAGGCCAAGGTAGGCCGATCATGAGGTCAAGAGATGGAGACCATCCTGGCCAACATGGTGAAACCCAGTCTCTACTAAAAATACAAAAATTAGCTGGGCGTGGTGGTGCGCGCCTGTAGTCCCAGCTACTCGGGAGGCTGAGACAGGAGAATCACTTGAATCCAGGAGGCAGAGTTTGCAGTGAGCCAAGATCATGCCACTGCACTCCAGCTTGGGCAACAGAGTGAGATTCTGTCTCAAAAAAAAAAAAAAAAAAAAAAAAAAAAAAAAAAAAAAAGAATACTGTAGCAGATGCCTGTAATCCCAGCTACTTAGGAGACTAAGTAGCAGGAGGATTGCTTGAGTCTAGGAGTTCGAGGCTGTAGTGCAGGATGATTGTACCTGTGAATAACCTCAGCACTCTAGCCTGGGCAACATAGCTAAACCCCATCTCTAAATTCACATTATTATTATTTTTTTAAATAGAATACCATGTGAGGGGTGTGAAGGCTGAGTGAAGAGCACGGTGTTCAGGGGAGCAACACTGAACACAGATAGATTCCCTGTTACAGTTTTGTTGAGGATAGTCTTGCACTAGATGTGCCCGCTCTTCTAGGTACTCACTTTGACTTTGAATCAGCACTAGAAAATTAGGACCTAGACTGTGAAGTGCTAGGAGGTAAACCTGGACTGGCAACAAGAATAACTAGAGCAGCTTAGGGAGCCTGGCAGGGTAGGCAGGCAAACTCAAATGTTTCCCTAAGAAGGATCACAGAAATCTGTCACCAGTGTGACTGATCAAGAAAGGGAGTTCTGAAAAGCAGCTGTTCTGTTGCTATAATACACACACCACTGCACATATGACGCCTGAGCCTGCCCACACAAAAATGAGTATACTCACAAGAATGCACACACACGTGTGTGTATATTTACAGTGATGCATTAAGCAAGGGTAGCTATGTGTGCAATTGGTTGACACTTTTTCTTAAAAAGAACAAAATTATGCATATACTCAAAAAAAAAAGAGCTGAGTTCTAAATCACTTCTAGAAATATCTAATCTCAGTATATATTTTCATGACTACTTTCTCCTGGTAAGTTTGACCTCCTTCATTTGGTTTCATAGACTCTGTATTTGATTTCTAGATGGTACACATTGCCAAATGCCAACATGTAGAGCGTTGTTTACTTTGGTCTTACTATATTGGCACCCTACCACACGTGTAAGAGTTTAAGCAAAAGCTGGGAAACCAGAGATTCTGTGGCCTTGGCCCCACTTGCCTACAGACACTTGGGCATTGCCAGACCCAGTATGAACTTATAGAAACTGCCCACCATGAGCAGGTGAGTCATTTAATATAGCCCAATTAGCTGCATGCCTGAATTAAGTGACTCTCCTGGGGACCCAGATGATTGACAGCCAGATCCCCATGTCTGGATTTTATCCATGAGACTGCCTTCGCTCTCAAGCCTAACCTCATTCATAGCTTGAGATGAACCACGTTCTTTCCTAAATGCCATTTATTTTGAATGAGCATCCCATTCCCAATTCCTTTCTTTCAGTCTCAACAGTTTGATAGCCTGTGACACTTTCCTCTGATTGGCCCTTTCCCATTCTCACCCACTTGTGTTGTTCCAGCTCATGCTTTTGGTCCTTAAGCCAAAGCCCTGCCCATCTCCAAGAGAGTTTCTCTATGCTTTTAGATTCTCCTCTTTTTACAGTGACTTGACCTTGCAGAATTCTTGGCTGTCCCAGGTAAGACTCTACCCTGCCTATCTCTTTTCCTCCATAAGTAAACAGATAATAAACTGGAAAAGGAAGGTAAATCCAGATTGTTTAGAAATGTAGAGGAACAAAGAAGGTGGAGCTGAGGCAGGAAACATTAGGTAGAACAGAGTAGAGGTCATAGATAGAAGAAGGAATGAAGGAAAGCAGGAATGGAACATGGGGGAGAGTACTCAGCTAAACTGGTTAAAAGGCTAGATCAAGAAAAGTTAACCTTGGCCTAAGAAATAAGTCACTGGGATCGATTTAACCCTAGGAAAGCTCCATTTACCTCAGGCAATCAAAAAAAAAAGTATGGAAACAAATATCTTAGCAGAGAAAACATTGAAGGAAGTAAGATTTCCAAAGTGCCAAAGAAGAAAGAAAATGAGAAAGTCTGAAGGCCATCAGCTGGAAAATCCATGACGGGGAGAAACTGGGGAAAATGTGTGGATAAGTTTCAGAGAAGCAACAGTCATCCAAACTTTTACAGGGCACAGCCCCTCTGCAATAAACCCTTTGCAGTTCATCCATCACTCATTAAAAGTGCACCAAATGAACCTTAAGGGAGATAGATGACCTTTCATATTTTTTCATGAATAATGTTAGTGATGATGTCTTTCATCTTCACGGAACTGCTTAGGGCCTAAAATAATTCCCAACCCTCCCTGCCCTTAATACAGAATGAAGTAGAAGGCCCATGGCAGAAGCACTGGGAATGCTAAGCATCCGTTTACTATTTAATTTTACCAGAGCACATAGTCCTTACGAACCAGTGTCTACTGTAAAATCTCTTTGGTGAGTCAGCATGTTGCCAAATTCTTCCTTTAAGCCTTAGCACAGCTGTGACATGAACATAAAAATACAGCTTCTTCTTCACAGTAAACTATAGAAGTAGAGTCCATATTCCTCTGGAGAAATAGCTCAAGGAGCTAAACTTTTTCTCTTCTCAGTACCAGAGTACCATCCGGTAGAATGAAATATTAGTCACTAAACAAGATTCTTGGAACTTGATAATGAATAAATGGAATTTGAAAAGTGATAAAAGGGCATAACTCAGATGCTTATGAAGCTCTGAGCAATATAGTGCTATGCAGATACTCAATATTAATGCTGTAATAGAATTTTAAGTTAATTTCAAGTTGAAATCCCCTGGAATATGTTCAGACTAAAGTCAGTATTCATTTTCTGATTAATTTTTTTTTAACTAAACTTACTTTCTCTTTTTTATCTAGGCAAAAGAAAAGAGTTAGAAAAGGTTTTAGTTGCAGTGAGTATTTCTTTTAAACCAAATGGGAAAAGCAAAAATCTAGACCTTGAAACCTCAAAATGCCTGCTTTAATTATTCTTTGTCATTTTAGGCAAAGATGATATCTTCCTTCCACATTATTTGAGTACTTATTGTAGTTTATTGTAGGAGTAAAGAGCCCTCAGAAGGTTCATGGAAAAATCAACACACAAAAGGTAGGTTAATAAGAGAAAAGGCACACAAATCTATTAGCATGTACAGGAAAGAATCACAGAGTGATTATATAAAATCCCAATGGGTCACACAGGTTTATATACCCAACTTCTGAGGGAAAAGGAAGATAGGGGAAGTGCGGATAATTTTAGGGAGAGAGTAAAGGATATTTAGGGGAATTCAGTAGGCTTGAAGAAGATACAACAGCCTGTGACAAAGTCTGTTGGGGCCACAGAGAGGGCAATGATTTGTGACAAATGTCTGTCCAGGTTTGTTGACAGACTTCGGTCATCCTTCCTGTAATATGAGGTCAGTTAATGAAAACGTAGGGAAGAGGCTAGAGGTAATTGTCTTCTTCTTTGGCAGGTACAGATTTTAGGCAGATAAGAAACTTCAGAGAACAACTTCATCCTGTTCTTTGGGACAGACAGAAGATTGAGAGACAGGAAGTTTGCGAGAAAAGGTCACAGAGACCTTGTGGCTTCTTGTTCAGTTTGTCAGAGGCATGTGATACAGAGCAACTCCATCTTAAACAGAGCTGAATAAAATCAGGCTGAGACCTAATGGGCTGCATTCCTAGATGGTTGGGGCATTCTAAGTCATGGGATGAGATGAAAGGTCAGCATGAGATACAGATCATAAAGACCTTGCTAATAAAACAGATTGCAGTAAAGAAGCCAGCTAAAACCCACCAAAACCAAGACAGCCACAGGACTGACCTCTGGTCATCCTCACTGCTACACTCCCACCAATGCCATGACAATTAACAAATGCCATGGCAATGTCAGGAATTTACCCAATATGGTCTAAAAAGGAAAGGCATAAACAATCCACCCCTTATTTAGCATATAATCAAGAAATAAGTACCAGGTGCAGTGGCTCATGCCTGTAATCCCAACACATTGGGAGGCCAAGGAGGGTGGATCACCTGAGTTCAGAGGAGTTCGACACTAGCCTGGCGAACATGGTCAAACCCCTCCATCTCTACTAAAAATAGAAAAAATTAGCCAGGCATAGTGGTGCAGGCCTATAGTCCCAGCTACTCAGGAGGTGGAGGTAGGAGAATCACTTGAACCTGGAAGGCGGAGGTTGCAGTGAGCCACGATCATGCCATCACACTCCAGCCTGGGCGACAAGAGCAAAACTCTGTCAGAAAAGGAAAGGGAAGGGAAGGGGAAGGGGAAGGGAAAGGGGAAGGGCAAAGGGAAGGGGAGAGAAAAGAAAAGACAGGACAAGAAAAGCACTAAAATGGGCAACCAGCAGCCCTCAGGGCTGCTCTGTCTATGGAGTAGCCATTCTTTTATTTCTTTACTTTCCTAATAAACTTGCTTTCACTTTACTCTATGGACTTTCCTTGAATTCTTGTACGAGATCTAAGAACAAGTGCAGCATGTCAAAGTGCCATATTCTGGGGTATATTTCTGAGCTCCAACATTATCAACTCAAGAATATCTGCATTTCTAAATTTCCTCTGGCTGAGAAGATTTTATCCATGAACGAAGCATACATTTAAATATAAAAGTAATTTAGAAAACAGGTACATATATTCAACTTCGTACCATCTCATTCCCCAATCTATCAACAATTTCTCAATGATTAGATAGGAAAAGATGATGAAGCCATAGATTGTTCACTGAAAAATCAATACACAAAAAGCAGATTAATAGGAGACATGGCACACAAATTTATTAACGTGCATGAGAAAAACCACAGAGTGGTTATCCCAAGCCCCCCAAAGGGATACAGAAGCTTATATACCATCCTGAGGTTACATAAAGAATGGGAACTCAGAGCATGGCCCAAAACAGGTTATGATGGTAAATCAGATTATAGTGGCAAGACAGATACGGGAGGTGGAGAAGAGGAGGCCTGGCTAGCAAAAGTGGTCTTGTTATACAGATGAAACCTCACAGGTAGCAGCCTTTAGAGAGAATAGATGGCAAATGTTTCTTTCAGACCTTTAAGGGTCAGACTCTCAGTTAGTCTTTCCTAGATCCAGACAAGGGAGGCCCTTGCAGAAAGCCTGGAAGCATCACTGCAGATTCTCTACAGACGCCAATCTCCCCCACAAAAGACAGCTTTGCAGGCTCTCTGAACAGCCATCTCAAAATATGTCAAAGAAGTTTATTTTGGGGTAAACCGTTTTTGTTTCCTTCAAAGCCATATTAAAAGAAAAAAGAAAAGAAAAAAAGGATGGAATAAATAAAGAGAGCAATGGAGGGATGATGGAAGAAAAAGAAAATAAGTTAGTTTGAGGCCCCCTGTGAAACCTAGTTATGATCCATTCATCCTTTCCCTTTATGGGGTCAATCTCCAAAGTGGCTTGTGTTCCAAATAACTTGTGTATACACAGTGGGTTTTCAAGAACAGGAAAGGAGTAGTATAGTTGTCCCTATCAAGAAAACAATTCTTCACATCTTTCACCCATCACAAGCCTGCTCAGAAATGTTTTCCTTTCATGGATGCAAATGAAGAGATGGAAAGAAAAAGGTTGGAGAAGAGCAATAATAGTAGGAAAGGGCTAGCTGCATCAATGTTAACCATAAAAAGGTATCTGTAATTCAGAGACATGGAGATAACTGTCTGTCTCCATCCTCCACATATCCCCATATGTATACCCTAGTGTCTAAGTTCTATCATTAGAAATTCCTCTGTCTCGTAAACCTTTCTCAGTGAAAGATTTCTTAATGTGCTCCTTCCTTTTTAAAACAGATTTATTGAGGTATAATTGACACATTTTTAAAACTATACCTATTTATGTGTACAATCTGGTAAGTTTTGACATAGGTATACATCTGTGAAACTATCACTACAATTAAGAGAATGAACATATCCATCACCCCAAAAAGTTTCCTCCTGCCCTTCTGAAATTCCTCCCCACCCCCGAAAGTAATTTACATTTCTATAAAGACATTGTCAGTGCTGTTCTGGCTGTTCTAGATCCTTTGCATTTTTATATGAATTTTAAATCAGTTTGTCAATTCCTACAAAGAAGACTGTTGGGATTTTGACTGGCATTGCATTGAATCAATAGATTAATCTGGGGAGATTAACATTTTAACAATGTTGATTCTTCCATCTCATGAACATGATAGAGCTCTCCATTATGTGGGTCTTCCTTAATTTCTCTTAGAAATGCTTTGTGGCATCCTGGGTTTGGGTCTTGTACATATTTTGTCAGATTTATCCCTGAGTATTTCATGCTTTGATGCTAGTGTAAATGGTATTCTTTATTTCAATTTCTGGATATTCACTACTAGTGTGTAGAAATATGATTGATTTTGTATATCGGTCTTGTATCTTGCAATCTTGCTGGACTCATTTTTCTGTTGTAGTTCGTTTCTGAGACAGGGTCTAGTTCTGTTATGCAGGCTGGAGTGCAGTGGTATGATCAGAGCCCACTGCAACCTCAAACACCTGGGTTCAAGCAATCCTCTCGGCTCAAGCTGGAGCTGGCACCACAGAAGTGAGCCACCACACCCAGCCTTTGAACTCACTTATTAGCTTTAGTCATTTTTTAATACATTCCATCAGATTATCAAGTTGTCTGAGAAACAAAACAGTTTTATTTGTTTCTTTCCCATCTAGATACCTTTTACTTCTTTTTCTAGTCTGAGTGCACTAGTATGCACAGGTCCGTTCTCACAGGTTCTATCCATATTGGACCAGAGGCTGAAGTGGCCATTCTTGTTTTGTTAGTGATTTCAGAGGTAAATTATCTTTCATCATTAAGCACGATATTAGCTGCAGACTAGCTCATACATTCGAGTTTTCATCTCTAGAATTTCAATTTAGAATTTTTTATGACAACTTTTGAACATAGGGAACATAGCTATAATAACTGTTTTACATTTATTTATTTTTTATTTATTTGTTTGTTTTATAGATGACCTTTATTAGGTTTAGGAATTTTGCTTCTTTTAGTTTGCTGAGAGTATTTTTCAGGAATAGATAGTGGATTTAGTAAATTGTCTTTTCTGTATTAAGATTATCATACGATTTTTCATTTTTAGTTTGATATAATGTTCAATTACATTTAAATATTGAACCAATTTTGCATTCTTTGGATAAGCCCTACTGGACATAATATATTACCTTTTTGACAGATTGCATTTGATTTCTTAAAATTTTATTTATAATTTTTGTATCTATAATTATGAAGGACATAATTTTGTACTTTTCTTATGTTGCCTTCATTTTATTTAATATCAGGGTAATAACAGTCTCATAGAATGAGTTAGGAAGTATATTAGTCAGAGTTTAATGAGACACAAATAAATTTGAACAGGAAAGTTTAACACAAAGAATAATTAATGGCCCAGTGGGCTGACTCATGCCAGTAATCCCAGCACACCAGGAGGCCGCCGAGGCAGGCAGATAACATGAAGCCAGGAGTTCAAAACCATCCTGGCCGATATAGTAAAACCCCATCTGTACTAAAAATACAACCAACCGACCAACCGGGCATGGTGGTGCACTCCTGATATTCAGGAGGCTGAGGTGGGAGGATCGCTTGAGCCTGGGAGGCAGAGGTTTCAGTGAGCTGAAATCATGGCACTGCACTCCAGCCTGGGTGACAGATCAAGGTGAATAAGTCAAAAAAAAAAAAAAAAAAAGGAAATGCAGAACTGTTTCCTATAAGGATTCACAACTACTGTGGAGCTAAGATCCAGACCTTGTTAGACAGGGCATGGTTGTGGTTTACCAATGGCAGAAAAGCCACTGTGGTACCATGCCAACAAAAGTTGATAGAAATCTACCATCCAAGGCTAGGCACGGTGGTTCAGGTCTGTAATCCCAGCAGTTTGGGAGGCTGAGAGATTATGATGGCTTAAGCCTGGGAGTTCCAGACCAGCCTGGGCAACACAGTGAGACCTCATTTCTACAAAAAATAAAAAAATTAGCTGGTATACGCCTGGTGGTGCACGCCTTTAATGCCAGCTATTTAAGAGGCTGAGATGGGAGGATAGCTTGAGTTCAGGAGGTTGAGGCTGCAGTGAGCCTAGATTTTGCCACTGCACTCCAGCCTAGGTGACAAAGAGAGACTCTGTTTCAAAAAAAGAAAAAAGAAAGAAAAGAAATCTACCATCCAAAACTTGCTAAAAATCTCCTTTCCAGGTTGTTAGGGAAAGCTGTTGATGGGGAGCTGTCTTGGTAGAGGTAGTCCCCTATAAAACTGCTGAGGGGGAGTTGGAAGAAGCTGCTGGCACCCGAGTGCTGTTGACAGCTACACACTGCAGAAGCCAGATACACCATTAGAGAAGCTGGCCACACTTCAGGAGGTCACTGCAGGAGGCTCCATCTACACTGCAGAAGGTGGGCACTGGGGAAGCTATGCACCCTGCAGGAGCCAGATGCTTTAAATTGTTTCACAACTCACCGATGTTTGGCTCTTTTTAAAAAATTATTTTTTCCCTGTTTCATTTTCAATCATCTTTATCGTTATTTGTTCAAATACACCAACATTTCCCTCTGCAATATTTATCTTCCATTAATCTGATTCAGTATATTTTTGATCTCATACATTCTAGTTTTCATCTCTAGAATTTCAATTTAGAATTTTTTATGACAACTTTTGAACATAGGGAACATAGCTATAATAACTGTTTTATATATTATATTTATTTATTTATTTATTTATTTATTTTTGAGACAGAGTTGCTCTATTGCCCAGGCTGGAGTGCAATGGCACGATCTCAGCTCATTGCAACCTCTGCCCTCCAGGTTCAAGCGATTCTCCTGCCTCACCCTCCCAAGTAGCTGGGTTTACATGTGCACCACCATACCCGGCTAATTTTTGTATTTTTAGTAGAGATGTGGTTTCACCATATTGGCCAGGCTGGTCCCGAACTCCTGACCTCGTGATCTGCCCTCCTTGGCCACACAAAGTGTTGGGATTACAGGCGTGAGCCACCGCACCTGGCTATAACAACTGTTTTAATGCCCTTATCTATTAAGTCTATCATCTGTGTCATGTCTGAGTCAGTTTTGATTCATTGATTTTTTTTTTCTTCATTATTGGTTCTAGTTTTCTGTTTCTTTGCTTGGCTGGTGACTTTTTTTTTTTTTTTTTTTTTTTTTTTGAGACGGAGTTTCACTCTTGTCGCCCAGGCTGGACTGCAGTGGCGTGTTCTCGGCTCACTGCAACCTCCGCCTCCCAGGTTCAAGTGATTCTCATGCCTCAGCCTCCCAAGTAGCTGGGATTGCAGACACACGCCACCATGCCTGGCTAATTTTTGTATTTTTAGTAGAGACAGGGTTTCACCATGTTGGCCAGGCTGGTCTCGAACTCCTGACCTCAGGTGATCTGCCTGCCTCAGCCTCCTAAAGTGCTGGGATTAAAGGCGTGAGCCACTGTGCCCGGCTTGGCTGGTGATTTTTTTTATTGGACACCATAAATTGTAAATTTTACTCTTTTAGATGTTAGAAAACATTTATATTCCCATAAATATTTTTGAGCTTTGTTCTGGGATTCAGTTAAAATACTTAGAAACAATTTAATCCTTTCAGGTTTTGCTTTTAAGATTTGTTGGGCAGAACCAGATAAATCAGGTCAATTTTTGCCCCACCACTAAGACAAAACTGTTCTAAATACTCAACCATGGAACCCCATGAATTATGAGATTTTCTGCTCTGGCTGGTGGCAACAAGAATTATATGCCCTGCCCCTTGTGAGCACCAGAGGTTGTTCTCTCTAATCCTTTCAAGATGGTCCTCTCCCTGGTGTGCACAGATTTGTACTCAGCTGAAGACTCAAGACTGACCTTAGGCAGATCTCCAGAGCTATCTTTTTCTGTGCAGTGCTCTTTTCCCAAGTACTCTGACCTGCAATCTCTTACCTGCTTTGACCTCCCTGTGCTCCCAGCTCTGTCTCTTCAAATCCCTGAGACTACCAGGCTCTATCTGCGTTCCTCTGTCCTATGCTATGTCCTGTATACTCTCTAGGCCGTGAGCTGGGGCAATTATAAGGTTTCTCTCATTTGTTTCCTGTCTCTAGCAGATCACTTTTCTCTGTTATTGGATGTCCAACGTCCTGCAAAATGTGGTCTGATATATTTGGCTGGTGTTTTTTTGTTTTGTTTTTTGTTTGTTGTTGGTTTTTGTTTTTTTTTGTTGTTGTTTGTTTGTTTGTTTGTTTGAGACAGAGTCTTGCTCTGTTGCCCAGGCTGGAGTGCAAGCTCTGCCTCCCAGGTTCACACCATTCTCCTGCCTCAGCCTCCCGTTGGCTGGTTTTTTAGTTGTTTCATGCAGGAGGATAAATCCCAATTCCTGTTATTCTATCTTGGTCAGAAGTGCAAATCTCAATGTTCCCCTTCTTGAAAAACAAATGTCTGTGTGATAACATTCAAAGCCTCAATCAATCAATATTAAATATATTAAATTAAGGCATCATTGAGAGTGAGATTTTACTAAAATGAGAGCCAGAATTAAATGTCCACTGGTGTGTGGCACTGCAGGTTCAGGAAGAATGAATGCAAGTATTAAAGTAAATACCAAAGTGGGAGATGTGATAGTAGCTGTACCCTGTGCATTTCCAATCCTCTTGGCTTGAGTAGTTCCACCCTGTCTTCCACATTGCACCGGTGAAAACTGACAGTGCATTGTTTCAGGAGTGTGCTGCCAGCCTCTGACTTTCTGCCTGCCCAATGGCTTCTGTGACATTTCAGCATGGAGCACCCCCAGGAACCTACTCAGCACTCACATATGTACTGCTGAATAGAAGTAACTATGGAGGGACGTTTCCTCTTTCCCCTAGACAAACACTTCTAAGGCAACTTTCCTAAAACTTCTCAGGAAGTCCCTCAGAATTTCATATCGGTTACATGTAGCAGTGATACAGGAGACAGAAAGAAATTATTTAGGTAGATAGTGAGGGTAAGAGAGTCCCGGCAGAGCTTCCAGCTTAAGGAAGAGCAGCCCCCAAAATCATTTGTTTTCTATCAAAGAGCAGCCTGAAAAAGATTTAGCTGCAGACATAGTTAAGCAAGCTGGAAGCTCGCATGGGTGAATGCTGGCAGCTGTGGCAATAGAAAAGGACTACCTGAGGCCCAGGCATGTTCAACATGGAGGTTCCATCTTCCCTTTTTTTTTTTTTTTTTGAGATGGAGCTTTGCTGTTGATGCCCAGGCTGGAGTGCAATGGCACTATCTCGGTTCACTGCAATCTCCGCCTCCCAGGTTCAAGTGATTCTCCTGCCTCAGCCTCCCAAGTAGGTGGGATTACAGGTGCCCGCCACCATGCCTGGCTATTTTTTGTATTTTTTTTTTTAGTAGAGACGGGGTTTTGCCATGTTGGCCAGGCTGGTCTCGAACTCCTGACCTCAGGTGACCCACCTGCCTTGGCTTCACAAAGTGCTGGGATTACAGACGTGAATCCCTGTGCCCAGCCCCATCTTCCCTTTTCTTTGCCACCATGTGTACAGTAAAGGAACAGACAACATGGTACCAGCCAGGTAGAAAACCCATATGCATAATAAAAGATTAGAGTGGGGTGGCCAGCTTCTTCACACACTATGCAAAGGGGACATCTAGTCCTAACCAGTTCTTCACGCACTATGCAAATGGTACACCTGGTCTAACAATCTTTCCTGCCCTGTGGAAATCAGACACCGCCTCCTCAAGCTCATTTATAAAACCTCCTGCTCTTTGCCATGGACCGGAAGACCTGCTCAGGACCCCTCTCTCTGCAGCAGAGAGCTTCTCTCTTTCTTTCACCCGTGAAACCTCTACTCTTAACTTCACTCCTGGTATGTGGGAAAACAAACCTCATGTATTACCTCAGACAAATGACGCTGCTTCAACAGTAGCCAATTTAGGAACACATGATTTTCTGTGTTCTATACTGGCTTTCTCTCCTTTCCTGTTTTACTTCCTGTGGTGGATTGGTCTCAATTCTTTGCTTTCTTTCTATAGAATTGTATATCCACACCAATCCCGCTCCTCAGAGCAGGAAGACTATACTTTCCCATGCTTGATTTTCAACTAGGACACCATGATTCCATTTGGCCAGTGGGATATTAGCACACATGAGACAAACAGAAATTTGAAAGGTGCTTTCTTGTGCTTCAGCCATTCTCATAAGAAAAAAACATACCCCACTTAACTGCTATCCTTTCAACCCAGGAGCCAGAATAAGACATATGGAGCAGAATTGCCCCCAGTGGATCCAAAGAAGTGAAAGTGAGAAATAAATGCTAGTTGGCCATGTGCAGTGGCTCACACCTGTAATCCCAGCATTTTGGGAGGCCAAGGGGGGCGGATCATGAGGTCAGGAGTTCAAGACCAGCCTGACCAACATGGTGAAACCCCATCTCTACTAAAAATACAAAAATTAGCTGGGCGTGGTGGTGGGTGCCTGTAATCCCAGCTACTTGGGAGGCTGAGGCAGGAGAATCGCTTGAACCCAGGAGGCGGAGGTTGCAGTGAGCCGAGATTGCACCAATGCACTCTAGCCTGGGTGATAGAGTGAGACTCCGTCTCAAAAAAAAAAAAAAAGAGAGAAATAAATGCTAGTTGCTGCATGCCACTGAAAATCTGCAGTTGTCTGTAAATGTTACAAAATTTGGGTGATATAATAAGTGGTACCTACAAGTAGGGTGTTGATGAAACAAAACCTGAACTGTATGGCATTGGTTTTAAGATGTAGTAGAAGGCAGCAAAGATGCTGTTATAGGACATATATCTCGTGACAATAGTGCCTGGGCAACTTTAGTAATCACAGCCTGACCAGACCAAGGCAGCTAAGTCCTCAAAACCTCAGGGGTGAGGCTCTGCATTAATCCAACAAACGAACAACTTAGATCAGTCAGAGAACTGGTTAAAAATAAAGAAAATCTAGAATGGGAGTGAAGGAGCAGAGACTATAGTTGTTTCACTTATGTTAAATTTCTGCAGATATTGTGGCCAACCACCAATTGAAGAGGACATAATGTACTCTCTGAGTAAATCTGAGAGAATGGACTGCATTGCATGCCTCTTGTGCATCACTTTAAATCCTCTTGGCCTTATTCCAGCCATTAGTATAGTTCTGCACAGGCTTTGAGCAACTTTTGTGCTCTATTTTGACAGCACCTCACCTTGGCCTACACATGCACTTTTGGCTTCTGACCTTAGCACTTCTCTGTTGTCATCATGTGACACTCTAGTGGTTACTCTCTTGACACTCATATGTAATGAACCCAGAGTGCAGAGGAGTTAATGCCCCAGAGGACCACCCTTGGCTAGCCAAGAAGAGGATCCTACTTAGACGATCCTGTGTGATTGCACCATATGCTGCTGTAGCAATGGTTAAATTGCCTTTAGATTGGCTTTCACTGCTTAATTCCCTCAACCCTCACTCCCACGCCTAAGATCACATTCTAAGTAAGTTATCCACACATAGTCTTTATCTGAGGCTCTGCTTTGGAGAGGACGCAGACTAAGACTATTTCACAGTTTATTTAAGAATAGGTAATACTAGGGGCCAGAGTATCAAAGCCCCTGACAAGTATGCAAATTCATTCATTCATTCATTCATTTAGTCATTCAACAAATATTTATTGAAGGGCTACTGTGTCACTGGCATAGTAGTAAACAGACTGCTTTTGTCAAACTTACATTCTAGTAAGAGAAGACAGACAATAAATAAGTACATATATCTTATCCAAACAGTGAATGCTAAGAAGAAAAATAAAGCAAAATAAAAGAAAGAGGGAGAGATGAGAGACTGTGGCCAAGGTTGGGCGCAGTGGCTTACGCCTGTAATCCCAGCACTTTGGGAGGCTGAGGCAGGTGGATTGCCTGAGGTCGGGAGTTTGAAACCAGCCTGACCAACATGGAGAAACCCCGTATCTACTAAAAATACAAAATTAGCCGGGCCTGGTGGCACATGCCTGTAATCCCAGCTACTTGGGAGGCTGAGGCAGGAGAATCGCTTGAACCTGGGAGGCAGAGGTTGCGGTGAGCCGAGATAGTGCCACTGTACTCCAGCCTGGGCAACAAGAGTGAAACTCTGTCTTAAAAAGAGAAAAAAAAAAACAAAAAAAACAAGTGGGTCCAAAGGCCCTCTTTTATAAGGTCATATTTGAGCAGAAAAGTGAGTAAAGTGAGAAAACTTGTCATGAATAAATACAGGTAAAAAGCATTCCAAGAAGAGGGACTATAAGTGAAAGGTCTCCACAGATGTGGCACGTTCCGGAGGCAGGAAGAAAACCAGCGGGACTGACTGGAGGAGACAGGTTGAAGGAGAGGCTGGAAGGAGAGAAGATAAGAAAGACAGTACGGGGCCTTAATGCATGGATGCATGGCACCTTGTGGGCTGTTACGTGACGGAAGGGTTCAGAGTACAGGAGCGCTATTCAGAAGGATCACTCTGGGTGCTATGTGCAGGGCAATAAAAGAGGAAGCAATACGGAGGTCATGGCAATAAGGCATGGAAGAGGATGAGGATAGAGACTTGTTCTGAGGCAGTAGCATGGAGCTGGTAAGAGGTAGCTGAATTCTAAAAACTTTTCAAAGGTGGAGCAGTACTAGATTTCCCAGAATTGGATGTGGGGTGTGAGAGAAAGGGAGCAATAATGAAATCTCTCTCCCTTTCATTGCATTGGATAGTTTTTGCCCAGTGCAACTTGAAAAATGGGGTTGATGTTTAGGAAGATGCACAATATCATTGCATAAACTTAGATGGGCAAGGGGATGAGGGGCCTTCTCAACCTGTGCACAGGGGCTTCTCTGGTCTAGCTTTTCCTTTCAGCTGTTGGCTTGCCCCTCTCTCATCCACATGATAAATTCAGGAGTTGGAGAAAAGCTGCTGGGGCTATCTATGGCCCTTTTTTCTAGATGCCCACAAATAGCCTCATATACTGCACCTTTGAAAGGATAGCCTGGGTAGGCTTTGCCTTTGGATATCCAAACATCTCCAACAGTACTCAAACCTTTCATCTCCCCTTTTTTAGACTCTAACAATGGGGCAGAGCTTAGGCTCCTTTCTGAGACCCACCATAGTTGTACTTCCCTTCTTTGCTTTCCGATTTACTTCCGTCACTTTCCCATCCCTATGACAGTCACAAGAATTTTCAGCTAATCTGAAATCTATTTTTTATAGCATAAGCTTTATATACTGAGTGTTTCAAAGTTTCCAAAACATGTTCTTGCAGCTTAAAAACTGTATTATATTTTCCCTTAGGCATGAGCACCAATGACTAAATTGGGGAAGAGGAACTCAAGGGAGAAGGCAGCTCAGAATCAAAGGTACTTGGAATTTGAAGGGGAAAACTTGGTCTCTTAGAATATTATTTTATTATAAATAGCAATCATGGCCAGGCACGGTGGTTCACGCCTGTAATCCTAGCACTTTGGAAGGCCAAGGCAGGTGGGTCACCTGAGGTCAGGAGTTCGAAACCAGCCTGGCCAACATGGTGAAACTCCATCTCTACTAAAAATACAAAAATTAGCCGGGCGTGGTCGTGGGCACCTGCAATCCCAGCTACTCAGGAGGCTGAGGCAGGAGAATTGTTTGAACCCAGGAGGCGGAGGTTGCAGTGAGCTGAGATTGTTCCACTGCACTCCAGCCTGGGCAACAGAGCAAGACTCCATCTCAAAATAAGTAAACAAATAAATAGCAATCATGTTTATGTTCTCCCATGAGGGTGGACATAGTCTTACCAAGTTACTTTTTTCTCTGTTTTTACTAACAGGAAAAATAAACTTAGATAGAGATATGATTGAGAAGTCTTCAAATATTAAATAGCTCATGGATTTTAAAAACATGAATGTCTATTTTGTGTAGCTATTTCATATTCATATATAGTCAAATTTAAATAAAAAACTCATACTTTAGCATATAGGAAATTAAAGAAGGAAAGATCTATGATTGATCTATCAGCAGAATTTGATACATTTGATCACTTTCTTCTCTTGGCATTAAGAACTACAAACTCTTAACTACATCATTTCTTTTCCTTCTCAGTCTTCTCTTTTAATTAATTAATTTTTTTTTTTTTTTTTGAGATGGAGTCTTGCTCTGTTGCCCAAGCTGGAGTGCAGTGGAGCGATCTCGGCTCACTGCAACCTCCACCTCCCAGGTTCAAGCAATTCTCCTGCCTCAGCCTCCCAAGTAGCTGGGATTACAGGCATGTGCCACCACACCCGGCTAATTTTGAATTTTTAGTAGAGACAGGGCTTCTCCATGTTGATCAGGCTGATCTTGATCTCCCAACCTCAGATGATCTGCCCGCCTCTGTCTCCCAAATGCTGGGATTACAGGTGTGAGCCACAGTACCCAGCTTTCCTTCTCAGTCTTCTTTGCTGATTTTTCCCCTCCTCCAAATCTCCTAGCAATGAAGTGCCTGAAGGCTCAGTTTTGGGTCATCTTTTTCATTTGTACTCCCTAAGAGACATGAACCACTCTTATGGCTTTAAATGCAACACATAAGCTGACATTTTCAGAATTGGCCTTTCTCTTGGACTGAAAACTCATGTATGCAAATGCTCTCTCAACATCTCCACTTGAATATCTAACAGATCATTCAAACCTTGCATTTCTAAAACTGAATTTTTTATATCCCTCCACCAATGTTATTCTGCTCACAGCTTTTCCCAGCCCAGCTGATGGCAACTCCATTCTTCCAACTGCTCAGGGCAAAGGGCATCTCTCTTTTTCTCAGGTTTGACCTCTAATCCATGAGAATTTCCTTTTTGCTCTTATGCCAGGCATGTTTTGACCTTGGACCTGTTTTCACTGTCTGGAATGCTCACCCCGCTCTTGGCTGCCCCTTCAATTCATTTAATATGCTACGTAATTTATTTGCTGATTTTGTTTGATATTTATCGTCTCCTTCTTTCCAACATACTCTGCCAAACCCATCCCTGACTAGAATACAAGTTCCACTAATGGGTGCATTTGTTTTTCTCTGTTTTGTCCTTTGATGCATCCCTAGAACCCAAAACAATACCTGGCACATGTTAAAGGCTCAATACATATGTTTAAATCAAAGAATAATAGGGAGAAGGCCAAAGTGGGAACCAGATATATGGAGCATGGTGAGACAAAGAGAGGGAAATCCAAAAACAAAGTTCTCCACTTTGCTAAATGCTTGGTAGGAGCTTCATGTAACAAGCATATAATAAGCTGGATTAAAAGAGGAGTGTCCACTGAAGTAGTCAGGGTCCCATAAATCGGGGGTCCCCAACCCCTGGGGGAAAGGAAGTGGGCTGCACAGCAGGAGGTGAGTGGCAGGTGGGTGAGCATTACTACCTGAGCCCTGCCTCCCATCAGGTCAGTGATGGCATTACATTCTCATAGAAGCAGGAACCGGATTGAGAATTGTGCATGCAAGAGATCTAGGCTGTGTGCTCCTTATGAGAATCTAACTAATGCCTGATGATCTGAGGTAGGACAGTCTCATCCCAAAATCATCCCCCACAACCCCTCTGTCTGTGGAAAACTTGTCTTCCACTAAACCGGTCCCTCGTACCAAAAAGGTTAGGGACTGCTGCCACAGAGCAAAGAAAGATAGATGAAAGAAGAATGAGAAAAAAACACAAATACAAAAGCCAACAGAGAGAGAATTTGGAAAGCATAGTTTTAGAGAATTCTGAGTATAAAGATTCTCCGTAACACGCATACCTCACCCGTGAGCACTGATAGCCATAGGCACTGATGAACACGCCCAGGATCAGAAATTTGGCCTCATGGGGCTGGGCGTGGTGGCTTATGCCTATAATCCTAGCACTTTGGGAGGCCAAGGTGGGCGATCACAGAGTCAGGAGTTCAAGACCAGCCTGACCAACATGATGAAACCCCTCCTCTACTAAAAATACAAAAATTAGCAGGGTGTGGTGGTGCGTGCCTGTAATCCCAGCTACTCGGGAGGCCAAGGCAGGAGAATCGCTTGAACCCGGGAGGTGAAGCTTGCAGTGAGCCAAGATCACACCACTGCATTCCAGCCTGGGTGACACAGCGAGACTGTCTCAAAAAAAAAAAAAAAGAAAATAAATTTGGCCTCGTGGAAATAGTGGAGGGAGATAATGGTTGGTTTTATGCACCAACAGTGCAACTGGTATGTTTTAAAACAAATGTTAAAGTAATATATATCTGAGGTTATAAATGCCACCAATTTATCTTATATTTGCAGATCTGGGGTGATAAATTAGATTTCGCCACTTCAAAATTCTATGAGGTTAATTAGATGAGTCAGTTGTGAAAACCTATCTGCTTCTGGTGTTAAACGAAACTTTAGTGGTGTTTAGGCTGTATGAGGTGTAGCACTGCTGAAAAAAAGATCAATATAGAAACAGTTCTAACCACACAGCATGAACAAAACCTCCCAAAGCAATTTGTTCTAATACCACAATGGTGGATGCATGTATTCACTCTCCATAGAACACTTTTAATACCTCTATCAAATTGACACATGAAATTATATATACGTCAACTCCATTATGTAGCTGAGATCTAGAGATCTAGTAGAATAGGGATGAAGAGAATAGCAACACTTAGGTAAAATATTTACACTTCTGACTTTTAATATATAGAAGTCAGGTGTTGGATTAGAAAGAAGATTACCATTTACAGGACAAAAGAATCTTTTTCTTAATAAGGAATAAGGTAGCACACATAATGTAGCAGAACTATCTCTGAATTGGGAATTAGAGGACACGTTCTAATCCTCAACCCACCACTTATAAACTGTCATTGGGGAAGCTTCTGAGTCTGTTGGAACCTCATTCCCTCCTTTGTAAGATTAAGATTTTTTTTTTTTTTTTTTTTTTTTTGAGACGGAGTCTTACTCTGTTGCCCAGGCTGGAGTACAGTGGCACTATCAGCGCAACCTCCACCTCCTGGGATCAAGCCATTCTCCTGCCTCAGCCTCACGAGTAGCTGGGATTACAGGCACCCGCCACCATGCCCGGCTAATTGTTTTTTGTATTTTTAATAGAGACAGGGTTTCACCATGTTGTCCAGGCTGGTCTTGAACTCCTGACCTCATGATCCACCCGCCTCGGCCTCCCAAAGTGCTGGGATTACAGACGTAAGCCACAGTGCCCGGCCAAGATTAAGATGATTATACCTGCCTTGTATATTTCATATTGTGCTGTTGTAATCAAGTGAGATGTGTACAAGCATGTTTAGGAAACTATAAATGATAATTGATATTTTTATATTTTGCAATACATTCCCTATCTACTATTACATTTCCTTATAAACCAATGAATATATGTTATTATGCAAGTTATTATTTTATATAATCCTTTACATTGTAAACATTAGCCATGGCATGATTCAATACATCACATGTGATTGGCAAATACGTTTCACAATGCATGAAATACAGTCATTTAAGCTGCACTTAAAGGAAACCGCGTTTTGAGACATCGCTTTTTTTTCTTTCAAAGAAGAGGTCCAAAATGGCCTTATAATACACACTAAGCCAGAAATAAATAGAGGTAGGACACTAATAAAATGGTTTCAGATTTGCACTTCATGGAATCTAATGTCACCTAGTGAAATCATAGGTAGTGAATATATTTTCTCTAGCTATCTACATTGCTATAAAGACACAGTGAAATATATCTTTATCTTGTTTGATAGCACTTGGTAAACACCGTTCACTTAACAGACGTTATAAATTACTCACTGCCACATAGCAAAAAAGAAAGTCAGCCTTTACAACTATGAAGTAATCAAAAGGCTATATTTTAAAACTTGCAGGCCATAGTCATAAAATGTTATTTAACTGAGGATTTTATGGTACGCTCATGAACAAGTAAATCACAATCTTCAGTGTTTATCTCTGATAACTTTTGGTTTCACAACCCATCACCCAGGAATGAAATGCTATAATTAACCCTCAATACACAGATTCCCAAGCAGTCCACAGATCATGAAAATGGTCATAGATTCTCCATTTTTTTTGGTGTCACCGAGAGGACACTTTTTAACTTCCTTTCCTTGATTGAATATCAGATTCAATATCTTTTTTTTTTTTTCTTTTTTTTTTTTTTGAGACGGAGTCTCGCTGTCGCCCAGGCTGGAGTGCAGTGGCGCGATCTCGGCTCACTGCAGGCTCCGCCCTCCGGGGTTCACGCCATTCTCCTGCCTCAGTCTCCGGAGTAGCTGGGACTACAGGCGCCCCGCCACCTCGCCCGGCTAATTTTTTGTATTTTTAGTAGAGACGGGGTTTCACCCTGTTAGCCAGGATGTTCTCGATCTCTTGACCTAGTGATCCGCCCGCCTCGGCCTCCCTAAAGTGCTGGGATTACAGGCGTGAGCCACCGCGCCCGGCCAGATTCAATATCTTAAACAGGGTTGAAAGAAAGACACTTTCTGAAATACCATCGATGTTAAAGTAAAACTCGTTTATAAAGAAAAAATATTTTTCAAAAAAATCTGTCAAAAGTTATTGATGGAGTCAAAGCATAGGTAAATCTTTTTTTTTTTTTTTTTTTTTTTTCTGAGACGGAGTTTCGCTTCTCTCCTGTTGCCCAGGCTGTAGTGCAATGGCATGATCTCGGCTCACTGATACATCCGCCTCCTGGGGTCAAGCGATTGTCCTGCCTCAGCCCTCTAAGCAGCTGAGATTACAGCATGCGCCACTATCCCCGGGTAATTTTTTGTATTTAGTAGAGACGGAATTTCACCATGTTGGTCAGACCGGTCTCAAACTCCTGACATCAGGTGATCCACGAAAAGTGCTGGGATTATAGGTGTGCACCACTGCACCCAGCCAAAGCATAGGTAAATCTTAATCTACTTAGTGTTCTGATATTATTAAATAAATAAAAATAAGCAAGTTATCTAAGGAACATTAAAACAGGGGTTGGCAAACTTTTTCTTTTTCTTTTTTTTTTTTTTTTTTTTGAGACCAAGTTCACTCTTGTTGCCCAGGCTGGAGTGCAATGGCAGGATCTCGGCTCACTGCAACCTCTGCCTCCCGGGTTCAAGCGCTTCTCCTGCCTCAGCCTCCCGAGTAGCTGGGATTACAGGCATGCACCACCATGCCCGGCTAATTTTGTATTTTTAGTAGAGACAGGGTTTCTCTATATTGGTCAGGCTGGTCTCGAACTCCCGACTTCAGGTGATCCTCCTGCCTCGGCCTCCCAAAGTGCTGGGATTACAGGCGTGAGACACCACACCTGGCTGGTGAACTTTTTCATAAAGGACCAGATAGTAGAAGTATAGGCTTTGTGGGCCATATAGTCTCTGTCACAACTATTCAACTCTGCCATAATAGCTTAAAAGTAGCCATAGATAATACAAAACTAAATGAACACAGCTATGTTCCAGTAAACCTTTATCTATGGACACTGAAATTTGAATGTCATATACTTACCATGTGTCATAGAACGTTTTTGTTTTGATTTTTGTCTACTTTTTGAATGCATAAAAGCCATTTTTAGCTCATTGGCCATACAAAAAGAGGTGGTATGCAAGATTTGGCTTGAGGACTATAGTTTGCTGGCACTGTTCTAAGCTATCATTGACAGTATTCACTCAATAAAGGTTATTTTTCTTGGGGCCCCTGAGTCTCTCTCTATTTTATTTAATTTTTGGAAGATAAGAAAATAAACTCTCTGTTTTACCACTATTATAATAAGCTCTGATTATGGAATTATCAGAAGCTGACTTAACCTGACTGCTGAAAGTAAGTAAAGACTACAGGATACAGAAAAATCCCAAAACCCCAAAAACCTCTCCATATTTTCCTTACATAGTTACATCCTCCCACCTCTAACACTGATACGTTCTGTCTAACTGTAGTGGGCGTGGTGGCGGGTGCCTGTAATCCCAGCTACTCAGGAGGCTGGGGCAGCCTCTAATCCCTAGCAACCACTGATATGTTCTGTCTCACTGTACTGTTTTCTTTCTTTCTTTCTTTCTTTTTTTTTTTTGTTTTTTAAGATGGAGTTTTGCTTTGTGCTCTTGTTGCCCAGGCTGGAATGCAATGGCGTGATCTCGGCTCACTGCAATCTCCACCTCCCAGATTCAAATGATTCTCCTGCCTCAGCCTCCCACATAGCTGGGATTACAGGTGCCCACCACCACGACCAGCTAATTTTTGTGTTTTTAGTAGAGATGGGGTTTTACCATGTTGGCCAGGCTGGCCTCAAACTCCTGATCTCGTGAACTGCCCACCTTAGCCTCTCAAAGTGCTGGGATTACAGATGTGAGCCACTGCACCCGGCCGTTTACTTTTTGAGAATGTCACATAAATGAAATTACTCAGTATGTAGCCTTTTAAGATTGGCTTTTTTTCACTAAGCACAATGCCTCTGAAATTCACCCACGTTGTTGTGTGCATTCATTTTCTTTTCCTTTTCATTTTAGAGATATATATAAATGTATCACGATTTATTTATCCATTCACTCATTGAAGAACATTTGGGTTGTTTCCAGTTATTGCTGATTACAAACAATACCTCCATAAATATTCATGTACATGTATTTGAGTAAACATAAGTTTTCGGTTAACTTGGGCAGTTACCTAAGAGTGGGATTGCTGGGTCATATTGTAAGTTTAACTTAATAAGGAATTACTAAACAGTTTTCCAGAGTACCTGTACCATTTTGTATTCCAGTTTCTCTACAACCTCAGTGCACTTGATATTGTCGGTTTTTATTCATTTTATTTTAGTCTTTGTAACAGATATGCCATGATTTAATATGCATTTCCCTCCCTGATGGCCAGTGATGTTAAATATATTTTCATATGCTTATTTACCATCCACATTTTTTTCTTTCACAAAATGTCTGTTCAATTCTTGGGCCCACTTTTAATTTTGTTTGTTTGTTTGTTTGTTTTGTTTTGTTTTAAGCAGGGTCTTACTCTGTCACCCAGGAAGGAGTGCAATGGTGCAATCAGGGCTCAGTGCAGCCTTGACCTCCTGGGCTCATGTGATCCTCCCACCTCAGCCTCCTGAGTAGCTAGGACTACAGGTGCACACCACCACACCCTGCAATTTTTTGTACAGACAGGGTTTCACCACATTGCTCAAGCTGGTCTTGAACTCCTATGCTCAAGCCATCCACCCACCTCAGCCTCCCAAAGTGCTGGGATTACAGGCATGACCCACTGCACCTGGCCTTGTTTTCTTACTGTTGAGTTTTGAGAGTTCTTTATATATTCTTGACAAAAGCCATTTATTGGATATGTAATTTGCAAATATTTTCTCCCAGTTTGTAGCTTGTCTTTTTATTCTTTTAACTTTTTCTCAGAGCAAAGGTTTTTAATTTTTATGAATCCTAATTTGTCAGTTTTTTAAATGGATCTGTGTTTGGTATCATGTATAAGAGCGCTTTGCCTAAGCCTAGGACATAGAGATTTCTCATAACTTCTTTCAAAAGTTTATATTGATTTATGTTTTACACTTATTAGATGTATTATCTATTTTGAGTTAATTTTTGAATTATATATGAGTTTTAGATCTAAGGTCTTTCTTTCATATGGATGTCCCACACCAAGAGACCATGCTTTTTCCAATGATTTTCCTTCACATCTTTGTCAAGGACAAATAAGCTATGTTCATGTGTGTGTGTCTATTTCTAAATTCTCTATTCTGTTTAATTGGCCTATTCCTTCATAAATACTACATTGTCTTTATGCTGAAACTCTAGAATAAGTCTTAAAATTGGGTAGTATGATTTTTTTCAACTACAGTTCTCTGAGGCTTTGCTCTTTTTCTGTGTTTAATAATATTTTTATCTGTTCAGATTGAAGAATTGTATCTATCTTCAAGTTCACTTTCTCTGTCATCTCTATTCTGCTATTGTGCCATCAGGTAAGTTTTCAATTTTGGTTAATGTATTTTTAGTTCTAAAATCTTTATTTGGTTCTTATTTCTGTCTTTTATTTAATTGCTTAGACTTTCTACATTTTCATTCTTTTTGAGGCTATTTGCCCTTACTTGTCGGAACACTTTTATAACAGCTGCTTCAAAGTCTGTGTTAGATAATTCCAACATCTGTGTTATCTTGGCATTGGCATCTGTTGATTGTCTTTTTCCATGTGAATTAAAATTTTCCTAGCTGTCTCTATGCCAAGTAATTTTGAATTGTATCCAGTACATTTTGACTATTATATTATGAGTTGCTAAGTCTTACTTAAATTATATGGGAAACGTTAAAAGCGCTTGTTTTGTTTGGATCTGTCTCACATATCTGTTACCCAGTGGCCAGTCTGGGATCTGGCCAGAGGTCTACCTTATAATCCAGTTATCAAAATCTACAGTTTCCTGTTTAGGGTGAGATATATGCATGTGTGGCTTGGCCATGATTCCAGGAGTTCACCAACAATACTATGGGGTCAGTTTTCCAAGCTCATCCCTCTCTGAGATTTCTCCAATAGTCTGTTTCACTGCCCTTTTGGATCTTTGCAATAATAAAACTGGGGCTTTGTTTACTCTGCTCTGCATTTCTTGTGACTGTGCCATATCCAGGGTCAAGCAGCAAGAAGATAAACAGAGAAAAAAAATTAACAGTTATTAGCCCCACCCTAATGAAGCCAAAGAGTTCCACTGGGAAAGAGCAACTGAAAGCTCTGCGTTTGAAACTCTCCTGGACTCAGTCTCATGTATCTCCCACTTTGGCTGATGACGATCTATATCCTTTAACTGTAATAAACAAACCATAACTGTAAGTACAACAGTTCTGTGAGTCTTTCTAGCAAAATCAAAGGTGGTCCTGGGGATCCCCAAATTTGAAATTGATCTTCGAAGTGAGGGTGGTTTGTATAGACTGAATATTTGTGTTTCTAAAAATTCATATGTTTAAATCCTAACCTCCAGTGTAATGCTTTAGGATGTGGAATCATTGTAGGTGATTAGGTCAAGAGAGTGGAGGCCTCATGAGTGGGAAAGCTCACTTGCCACTTCTACCATGTGAGTTTACAGCGAGAACAGTCTACAAACCTGGAAGAGGACCCTCACCAGGCAATGAATATTTGATCTTGGCCTTCCAGGCTTTTAGAACCATGAGAAATCAATTTTTATTATTTGTAAGCTACTCAGTTTATGGTAGTTTGTCATAGAAGACCAAACAGACTAAGACAATATGTTATAGATGATTCCCCAACTTTATATCCTATGTCCCCTGATTAGATATATTAAAATTGGGATAGGGCAGAGAAGGCACTGGCTTTAAATACAGTTTCTGAAACTATCTAGGCTACCCCAAGATTCTGGCATAGTCCCAGAACCAGAGAAAGAGGACATAAAAGAAAAGCCTTCCCAGGGAATCCTGATGTGCTCCTGGATTTCAAACCATTCCCATTGGGAATACTTGATCTTTACCGCTGCCCTACTTAAAACCCTTCCCTGGCTCACCATTACCTGAATAATAACATCTCGTGACCTTTACATTCTATGTTCGTTGCAGTCTAACCCAAACCAGTTTATTTCCTGCTGCTTCCTTCAACACTACCCCCATGGGCTCTATTCCAATATCCTGATGTAATGATTTAGGGTAGCACTCTGGCATCAGTGTGCTTCCCAGATGACTCTACTGTGCAACCAGAATAAATAAACTTCCTAGCAGAAGAGCTGTGACCTTCCATTCAGGTACCTAACACTGGAAGAATCCTGAATTTTCATAAGATAAGGTCTAATATTTTATCTTACAGCCAGAAAAGATCACTATTTAATATATAAACCTAGAATAACATCACATTTTTACCTCTTGAAATTCACATATTCTTAAAGGTTCAGCTCAAGTGACAAATTCTCTAGGAAGCCTTCCCTAATCACACTAGACCAAGATAAATGTCTATATCTCCGAGTTCCCATATTTTATTTGTTCCATTCTATAGTACTTTTCACATTCTACTTTATAGTATGAAAATTGCAATGTAAGAAAAGCATGGTTCAAATATCAGCTCTTTGAATTATGTGTGATTTGAGTAAAGCCAATTATCAATTCTCAAAGCTTCAAATACTTCATCTATAAAATATGAAAAACAAATACTTACCTTACAGTATTATTATAAGATTGAAATCAGGCACTTCAGTGCTCCCCAACTTTCTTCATGGCATGGTACGTAGGAAATGTTCTTTCCGCAGCTCATTGGTGGAGTCCACTTGTGGCAAGAGGTGAAGACTGCAGGCTTTACCTGCTTTGGTCTTGCCCAAGTGCTCGAGGAGTTAACAAGGCTTAACTGGACACAGCTGTAACCCATTCAAAGCTTACTAATTGGCTCCCATTGAAATCACATGGACAGCATTACAAGTTGATGCTTGCGGCTGGGCGCAGTGGCTCACGTCTGTAATCTCAGCACTTTAGGAGGCTGAGGTGGGCGGATCACGAGGTCAAGAGATCAAGACCATCCCGGCCAACATGGTGAAACCCCATCTCTACTAAAAATACAAAAATTAGCCGGGCATGATGGCGGGTGCCTGTCGTCCCAGCTACTTGGGAGGCTGAGGCGGGAGAATCGCTTGAACCCGGGAGGCGGAGGTTGCAGATCGCACCACTGCACTCCAGCCTGGCAATAGAATGAGACTGCATCTAAAAAAAAAAAAAAAAAAAAAAGATGCTTGGCTATCACCCCCTGATTTAATTTGTCTGAGGTACAGCCTGGGACATAAAGTTTTTAAAGCTCCCCAGGTGGTTCTAATATGCACCCAAGTTTGAGGACCACTTTCATAAAAAAATTTGAATCAGCAACTATAATTGACATAATTAAGGGAACTTTTGGGTTGTTCATATTTTGAAGGTGGAGAATGGATATTATTCATTGCTATAAAACATTAGCCAATCCCCAATCATTAATGACACTGTCCCTTTAATAAATGTTCAATAAATATTTTTGGAATTCAATTTAATTCAACAAAAGAATACAACTTTAAAGGTCAAGGCAAGTTGAAGAGGTCACTGAGGAAAGCATTTCTGAAATAAATTGGACATTACCTGAATGGAGTCAGGACCCTTTTCACAGCTGCAGCTCTCAGACTTACTAAAGCAGAACCATGTTGCCCTATCATTAGGGTGTCACCATTGTTCCTCAATTTTACTCTAGAGAATAAAGTAATAAAACAAATGTTGAAGTTCTATATAGCCAGAAAAATTTTCAGGCCTAGCACTTTCAAACTGCAAGAAAGCTGAGCATCTTTAATCCTAAAGAATGTGTGCTTCTCAACTTGTTTATATTCTTTGGTTTCATGGTAAACAGAATTCTCTCTTATGGAATTTGCCTCCAATGTTTGGAAACCTTGAAATAGTGACAAAAGAAACTTCTTGATTTTTCTGATCCTGATTCTGATCACTGAAATTACTCAATGTATGGTGCCTATTTTTATTAAGTCATCAGAAATTCTAAAGCTCATAACTGATTCCATTTATATACAGAAAATACTAAACATATTTCCATGGAGTATTTCCCTGCAAGATAATAGGCTCAAACCACTAGCTAATCTCACCAAGAAAAATAGAGAGGCAATTAATCCCAAACGAAGCATTCCATCTGTGTTCAAAAGCTTGAAATGCATGTGGGCAGGCATGTAAACAAAATTCCAAATAGTTTTAAAAATGCAAGTCACTGTCTTCTCCCACAACCATCACCACCACACACACATATGACACACATAGACCTTAGCTATTTGTGTCATGAAACGTAGTAGGTGGAGTGCTTGGGCATGAGTTTGACTCTTCTTCTAGAAGAATGACACTGGACATGCCATTCAAATCATGTTTGTGCCTCAGTTTCCATACCTGTATAATGAGGAAGCCATAGTGTTACTAATTCCTTTTAAGCCTGATTATGATCTTATAAACTTTTACAATAAATGAAAGGAAAACTAGCCTTTAACGGGCGCTTGCTTTAATGACGTTATTGTGTTTAACTAGTTTAACAAAAAAGAACTATGTTGGGCGTGATGGTTCATGCCTGTTCTCCCAGCACTTTGGGAGGCCAAGGTGGGAAGATCACTTAAACCCAGGAGTTTGAGACCTGCCTGGGCAACACGGTTAAACCTGTCTCTACAAAACATATAAAAATTAGCCAGGCATGGCTAATGTTTGGCATACATTTGAAAACACCAGAAATAATAATTTACCAGAAGTTTTTCATCCAATATTTATTAGAAGTCTGTTATATGCCAAATACAGAGCCAGGTAATTTATATTTTAATTTTTTGCAGGCAGAGTAGAGTCAACTGACTGTTGTTATTATTATTATTATTATTATTATTATTATTATTATTATTATTATTTTGCAAGACTGCATTCTGATTTCCCAGAATAAAAATTACAAATCTTCCTAAAGAAACAAATCTACTTTGCTTTTATTTTTCTCTGATAAGAAAAAGGAGTGAAATCTGTCAGTTTTCAGTAGATGTTCACAGCTTCCTCTGGAGCAAATTATAAAAGACTATAACCTTGTCTTTTTCCTGATCTACAGGCATCTTGAACTCTTCTTTGTTTTCTTTTTTCAGTAATCCCTGAACTAGGGATATATAAATAAGAGAGTAGAAAAACAAAAAATAAATGAATGCATCAGTGAAAAAGTAACCTAACTTTTGTCACTTTTAAAGAAAGAGAAATGTAAAATTCTTCACCCATTTGTGTTTTAAATTTTAAAAAGTTCATTGAACTTTTAAAAGGAAGAAGAGGGAGGGGAGAAAGTCAGAGAAAATAACACAATGGAAGAAGGATTATATTACTAGAAATAGAAAATAAAGCATAAGAGGCCGGGTGCAGTGGCTCACGCCCTGTAATCCCAGCACTTTGGGATGCTGAGGCAGGCGGATCACGAGGTCAGGAGATCGAGACCATCCCGGCTAACACGGTGAAACCCCGTCTCCACTAAAAATACAAAAAATTAGCCAGGCGTGGTGGTGGGCGCCTGTAGTTCCAGCTACCTGGGAGGCTGAGGCAGGAGAATGGCGTGAACCTGGGAGGCAGAGGTTGCAGTGAGCCAAGATCGCGCCACTATACCCCAGCCTGGGCAACAGAGCGAGACTCCGTCTCAAAAAAAAAAAAAAAGGAAGAAAGAAAAGAAAGCATAAGAAAACAGAAAAATTACACTCTCAGAGATTTGGAGACACGTTTAAATAGAAAAGAAATAAATAGAGTGCTAGAGGCAAATTAAAAGATAGAGAGTAGTATAGGAAAAAACCATGAACCAAGAGGTTCATCAGTAGTTTCATATCAATATTCAAAATATGGTCAGAAGAACAGAGAATTTTCTGGAGCTCCTGTTAAAACACAGATTGGTGGGCTCATCCTAGAAACTGGTAATTTTAGACAATCTCTGTAGTTAATTCTCAAGCACACTAACACTTAAGGACCACCACTTGGGGAGTGACAGGAGTAGATCCAGTGTTGCCAAGGTGCAATTTCAGACTTTTCCAAAGTCAAAGCTCTGATTATTTTAATAATATTTTGCATTTTGAATATGGATGAAGCCTGGAATTTTAAAAGCAGCAGAAGTATATACATTTCCAACAACAAATATTTTATTTCCACCTAAATTTGAGAGCATTTCTTTCTATGATTAACAGAGGGAAAATTCCACTTCCTGGATGAATGATGTTGAACATTAAATTTTATTTTAACAATTCAGAATTCTTATTTTCTAATTACTTACAACATGGAACTTCTGTGGACTTCTTGAATCACATATGAAATTTTCTGGTAATATATGTTTATTTTTCTGAACAAAATGTTCATACAATTCATCAGATTTTCGGGTTCTGTTATCGAGTCTCCCCCAAATTAAAAGCCATTTTTAAAAATTAGTACTAAGATTTTTAAAAGTTGTGTTGCATTTTTGCAACCACAGTCATGAAGAGTATCTTGTTTAATCCAGTTGTTTTCTCTGACCGGTTAGCCAAAGATTTCCTCTTCCTTTGCTCTAATAGGCAGTAAGACCTGAAAGTAAAAATACGATATTTGGCAGATTTGAATGTGGAAATCTGAAAGTGGAATCAGATAAATTTGCCAGTTTAATCTTCCAGTACTTTTCATCCTCTTAGATTTCACTTAACTGCTCACAGTTTCTTCCTGGTGTCAAGAGTTCAGACTCTTTCCCTTCATGTACCCATGTTTATATCACCATCTAGAATTTTCTTATATTGACCGGGTGCAGTGGCTCACGCCTGTAATCTCAGCACTTTGGGAGGCCAAGGTGGGCAGATCACGAGGTCAGGAGTTCGAGACCAGTCTGGCCAACATGGTGAAACCAAGCCTCTACTAAAAATACAAAAAATTAGCCAGGCGTGATGGCACGCGCCTGTAGTCTCAGCTACTCAGGAGGCTGAGGCAGAAGAATTGCTTGAATCTGGGAGGCGGAGGTTGCAGTGAGCTAAGATTATGCCACTGCACTCCAGCGTGGGCGAAAGAGCAAGACCTGTCTCAAACAACAAAAACAAACAAACAAAAACAACAACAACAACAACAAAGAATTTTCTTACATTTGACACCAGAGGAAATGAGTATTTTAATTTTTTATTTATTATTATTATTTTTTGAGACAGAGTCTTGCTTTGTCAACCAGGCTGGAGTGCAGTGGCGCCATCTTGGCTCACTGCAACTTCTGCTTCCCGGGTTCCAGCAATTCTCATGCCTCAGCCTCCCAAGTAGCTGGGATTACAGGTGCCCGCCACTATGCCTGGCTAATTTTTGTATTTTTAGTAGAGACAGGGTTTCACCATGTTGCTCAGGCTGGTCTCGAACTCCTTACCTCAGGTGATCCACGTGGCTCAGCCTCCCAAAGTGCTGGGATTACAGGCGTGAACCACCGTGCCCAGCCGGAAATGAATATTTTTAAATCCTCAAAGTCCAATAGCTCAAAGCCTATGCTAAAAATCAGCAAGTTTCTATGTATTTTAAAATTCACAGATTTTCCATTTTTAATACAGATTCATAAAAGGAAATTTCTTGAATTGTAAACAGCATCATTCATCAAGTTTATTGCTCCAGCAAGTCTGCTTTCAGAATTTACCTGACTGAGTAACTTTCACATGATTTTATTCTTCTGGCACAAATTCATTTCTTAATAAACTTTGGCAAAGGTGAGAGTACAAGATATCCCACCCAGCATACATATACTCTGCAAACTTATTTAGGCTGCAAAACAGTATGTATAATATATACAAAGCCAGTCTCTTGTTTTCTTTACGAAGTCACTCCTCCTCCCCATTTAGTTATAGGGGAAAAAAATGATATACTGAAAATCATATATTCTAAGCACCTTATAAATTAACTAGCGTCCTTACAAAAACTAGAAATCAGTTCATATTTCATGCTTCCAGAGAACATCCAATTAATCACACAAATAAAAGGATTTTTAATGTGCCCGTCATAGCATTGCAACTAGTACCTGCTTGCTCCTAAGTTCCCTGAATAACCTTCACAGATGTCAGTTGCGTCTCAGAATTGGCCTTAGCTTAAATTATATTTTCATAATAAAAAATAGTGTAATCAGCCCAGTATGTGCTTTGTGTGTCTTTTATTTGCACAGGCAGCAGTAAATACAGTAAATATATATCTACAGTGGACCTTTTAACAATGGAGAAAAAATATATTCATTAATATATATACAGTTTCAACATATTTTATTTCTCTTCTCCTTACAAAATGAAACTCTGCCAACACTTGGGGTTTTATCCACATTTCACTTCTGGAGTTTCTTCATAGTCTCAGGGACTATGATCAGGTTAATGATTTGACATCATGAATCGCAGTCATTGCAATCCCCAAAAATATGACCATTTACCAGCATCTGATATGGCTTTTTCATTCTAAAACCTAAATTTATAAATTTAGGGCAAAATTGGCTTGACCTTCCAGAAACCCAGGGGGAAAATCCATTCTTCTTTCTAACACTGGTCTGAGAGGTGATGCCTCATCGGCACTGCAGGCAGCTGGTGATTCCCAGGACTACCGCTCCCCAGGCCAATCTCCAACCACTATTCTGGTGCAGTAGTTCTGAAGGGGGCTCAAGAATCTGTTTTTAGATCACTTCTCAGTGACACTTACGGGCAACAAGTTTGAGGGTCAGTTATCTAAATGCTCATCTTAATTATTCCAAGTTACTGAACAGATCTTAGAAATGCACATGTTCCAATGCAAAGGTCGGAAGAAACTGCCTCACTCCCACTTTCACACACGTGGACATGTGGCGGCAATGCTCTAGGACAGAGGGTAGGACAGTGCCTGCTGGACAGGGTTAAGGTTTGTGCCACTGTGTGTCTTTCTTGCATCCATAGCTCTTGCCTGTCCCTCAAGAGCAGAAAAATTGGAAACTACATTTCCCAGGCTTCCATGACAGCAGGGCTCTAGCTAGATTTCATCAGTGTCAAGCAGTCATGTACAATTTGGAGGGATGAGAAAAAGAAGAAGCCATATTTCTCCAGCAGCAGCAGATTCTGGCAGGTATGTGACATGCGCAGAGGGGTGACATGGGGGTTTCTCAGCAATTTTCAGAGTCTGAAGATACCAAGGATTTCTGATGGTAGCTTTCCTGAGATTTCCCAAAAGCAATCTTTCTAATCTATACCCCTTTCCCTCTCGTATCCTTGCAATGGTTGTGTAAGCCTCTTCTCGGTGTTAATTCTCTTCCTCCCTGAATGTGAAGTGGCTTCTGTTTTTTGGCATGACCGTATTTGTCACAGTTACACCATTATCCTGCAGACCCTCTTGGAGCTGGAGGTATTAACCTAGACATTTGCACTCTGAACCCATGAGAATTACAACCCAGAAAAGACAGAATCTCCTAGAAAATGCTTAATAAAAATCCACAAACCCCACAGCTCCTGTGGGAAAGCATGCAGTGAATCAACTCATTGAAAATTCACAGGCTCCCTGGTTTCAGCCATAAGAGCAAAGGTGGCAAATCTCTTGCACCGGGGTCTGATTGTTTCCCTGATTTATAAATGTTTAAGAAAATTAGCTAACTCTATCCTAGTGCAAAGTGGACTCTAATATTATGCCTCATCCCTCACATCCCACACTTCAGAGTTCTCTCATGTACAAGTCTTGGAAAACTTCAAGGAAAAGTTTTACTGAAACACGGGAAATCTGAATGTTTCCAAACAGTAAATTATTCAAGGGCTCAGGAAAAAATTTATTTGGCACCAGTTAACTGTAGAAATGCTACATGATGACAGATATAAGTGTTTGATTTTTTTGCCTTTCATTGGTTATAATTAATACATTTTATATTTTCAAAAGATAGGCAGGAGAACCTGAAAGATAAAATGATTTTGATCAGCTCTGTCTAACAGTAACTACCTTTTCGTGATGATAAAAAATGTTCTATATCTATGTTGTCCAATGTGGAAGATCCTAGTCACATGTGGCTATTAAGCACTTAAAATGTGGCTACTGCAACCAAAGAATGTTTAATTTTATATAATTTTAATTAATGTAAAATTAAATTAAACAGTTACATATAGTTACTGCATTGGAGAGCATGAATTTTTTCAAACCTATTTGACACAGGTCTTTGTTTTTCAAGTAGTCTTCCAAAAATATAAAAATTATATTTAATTAAATACATTTATGAAAAGGATAACATTATATCAAAACGTAAGGCTCTTTATATAGATAGAGTAAATATTGGTTGTTGTAGGAATTCAATATGTATTACACTCATATGCATGTTTCAAATTTAAAAAGTAATTGAATTTTTAATTAAACAAGTAGTGAGAACGTTCTTGTAAACCCTTTCAAACAATGCAGATAAACATCCCATTAGCCAGGCTCATTCCCCACATCCTAAAGAAGGAAAAACATTATTATAGGTTAAGTTTTTTTATGTATTTAGAAATATATTTGCATAAAAATGTAATATAATCTATGTATCCATGTTTGGATTAGAGGATATTTTATTGTTCCTAATACGCTTGTATTCACAAACACACACACACATTGTTTTTCGTAACTGTGTGACATTCCTAAGTATGCATTTTTTGGTAGCCCATTTGACCATTCTTCCCTTGCTATAATCTTATGTTATTTATAATTTTTCCTCTATTATAAACAATACCATAATAAACATTCTTTTACGTAAGTTATTGTGTATATTTTAAGTTTTAACAGATTGTAAAATTTCCCTCTATGATGACTATAAAATTCATATTCACCATTGCCTCCCACTGATATTATCAAAGTTTTTTTTTTTTTTTTTGGCAATCTGATGATTCAAAAAAGGAATCTTATTTTAATTTATATCTCCCTATTACTATTGAGGTTAAGCAGCTTTTCATATATCTGCTGAATTTTATCTTTTGCGAATTGACCATTTATATCATTCATATAATTTTTTAAGATCAGAAAAACACACACTAATACAGCAAAACCAGGACTGAATTTTTTAAAGATTAGGGTGCCTTGTACATTAATATCCATAAATAATTATTGAATGAATGAATAAACCAGCCAGCATCATACAAATCTCTCTCTCTAAAAAAAAAAAAGGATTAACTGAATCCATTTTGTTCTAAACCCAAGTTCCAGATTTCAGAATATCAGGGCTAGACAGGTAAATGACAGGTTTATATTTATTGTGTCTTATGAAAACTACTTCTAATGCTCTCCCTTATTCTATTAGAAAAATAAATTTTAAGAATTCAACTAAATAAATGTTGGCCAGGCACGGTGGCTCACGTCTGTAATCCCGGCACTTTGGGAGGCCGAGGCGGGTGGATCACTTAAGGTCAGGAGTTTGAGACCAGCCTGGTCAACATGGTGAAACCGTGTCTCTACTAAAAACACAAAAATTAGCTGGGCATGGTGGCACACCCCTGTAGTCCCAGCTATTCAGGAGGCTGAGGAAGGATAATCACTTGAACCAAATGGGTGGAGGTTGCGGTGAGCCGAGATCGTGCTACCGCACTTCAGCCTGGGAAACAGAGCAAGACTTAGTCTCAAAAAAAAAAAAAAAATTCAACAAATAAATATTTATTTAATAACCACTCGAAATATTTCTGATAGAATTGTTATTCTAATTTCAAGTAATTTGTTCTCTAAGACCCCAAACTCCCTAATGTCTCCATAGCAAAATAAGAATGATATTTTGTAAGGTTTTCTTAGAGACAGGGTCTCATTGTGTTTCCCAGGCTGGAGAGCAGTGGTGCAATCTTGGCTCACTTCAACCTCCAACTCCTAGGCTCAAGTGATCCTCCCACCTCAGCCTCCTGAGTATCTGGAACTACAAGCATGTGCCACCATGCTGGGCTAAGATTTTTATCATTTTGTAGAGATAGGATCTCACTAAAGTGCTCATGCTGGCCTCAAATTCCTGGCCTCAAGCAATCCTCCTGCCTCAGCCTCCCAAAGCACTGGTATTACAGGTATGAGCCACCATGCCCAGAATGGCATTTTAACTGATGCACTTTTCATATTTTACAGTTTTGATCTCATAGCTAGTTAATAAGAATAATTTAATCATTTTTCCATCACAAATACCTCCAAAAGGTTTTCACTTCTGCATTACCAACATTTCTTCTTCTTCTGGTAAAAGTACCCTGTACTTTGTGGGTCTACTCTTCCACTGTCTCAATTCACATGGCATTCATGAGGCTGACTTCAACCATGGCCCCAAGGTTGGGTCAGGAAACAAAAACTGGCCTGAGTAGCCAAGTAGAGCCAACTATATAAATCACAGAGATTTCAGAGGAGTAATAGAAAGGCATTATCTCTCCAACATAAGTCCAAAGTGAGTAGCAGCCATTTTGCTATGTGGTCTGAGAAACCCGCTTGAGAATGAAACAAATGAAAAGGAAAGCAAAGTCTAGAAATGAAGAGAGAAAGAAAGTGGGGCAGGGGAGGAGAGAACCAGGTCCTGATAGTGACATTTAAATCACCAGATTCAGTCACACCTGAAGCCACATCTACAGTTAGATTTTTCAGATATCCACCCCCTCCAACACACACAAAAAAGGTCCTTTTTGCTTGAATCCATTTGAATTGGTTTTTTGTCACTTGCAATAGAAATAATCAGAAACAATGTACAGTTAACACATGTGGACATAGGAGCTCTTTGAAGAGTGATTCTAAATAATCTAATATCCAAATTATTCTACTTCTCTGCTTGTTAGAGACATTGTCTAAATCCACATTTCTGGGATTGAGCAGAAATGAGGTTGATCTGCATTACTTCTTTTTATTTTTATTTTTTTGAGATGGAGTCTTGCTCTGTCTCCCAGGCTGGAGTGCAGTGGCGCAATATCAGCTCACTGTAACCTCTGCCTTCCAGGTTCAAGTGATTCTCCTGCCTCAGCCTCCTGAGTAGCTGGGATTACAGGCACCCACCACCATACCAAGCTAATTTTTGTATTTTTAGTAGAGATGGGGTTTTCTATGTTGGCCAGGCTGGCCTCGAACTCCTGACCTCAAGTGATCCACCCGCCTCGGCCTCCCAAAGTGCTGGGATTGCAGGCGTGAGCCACCGCGCCTGGCCTGATCTGCATCAGTTTTTATATATAAAATATTTTTCCCATTTTACATTCTCTCATGGAAATAATTGCACAGATGCTATATAGATCAAATGCAGTTATCCTTGTTTTATTAATGAGAAAAATGGACATATAGAAAAGCTAATGATGTTTCAGGTCTGGGACAATATCCAAGACTTTCGACTCATAGCTCTTGCTTATATTCGATCCTGTGCATTTCCCATAGGATGCTAAAGATGAAGTGAGTAAGTAGTAGGAAACAAGAAACTGCTGACAGCGTCTGATGATACCATCCTGCATGTTTCCAGGCCTCATACAGTGGAATCTGCTTTCAGTTTACACTCTACAAGTCACTCTGCTGCTAAAGGTGTGTGGAAGCTTCCTCTCCTAGAGTCATAGCACACAGCAGACACTGCCACCAATCAGAGTCAATGCCAATCCCACCAAATGACTCAATGAAGAGACACTGGAGACAGTGAGGAAGTCCCCATGTACCTCTTGCATCCAGCTTTTCAAACAAAACATGATAAACCATGTAGTGAAGAAGTTAGGCATCTGGATCTGGAATCAGGTGAATTTGATTTTGAATATGGGCTCTGTCACTTTTTAGCTACATATCCACCAGCATGTTATTTATTCTAATTTTCTATTTTATTCTCACTACCCACTCTGAGTAGGCTCAACCTCTCTAGATTCTGCTAAGTGGCAGGGATGAGAGAAAGCCATCTAAGAAACTACTCATGCTTGACACAACCTACCAGGACACCAGAAAAATGAGCCTCTGTCATACTCCTATCCAGCTTCCTTCCAGGCAGTGATGACATAACAAGGTGTTACCATATAGCTTGTTATCTAACTGGACTTACCTTAAAGTCAGATGAGCAAGTAGAAACCTGCACCATACCAATAATCTCTCTAGCCTACAGGCTCAAGGTAATCCTTTGATAGTTCATTCTTTGCATCACAAACCCCTTTCAAATTCTTCCCCAGGCTTTCCTATGAGGTGACACTAAGGGGAATACAATGTGGCTCTAATACCGTTTGTACAGATTGTGCATATTTTTTCTCATTAGAATGGCATGCATTGTAGAGGGGTTCCCATTGTCAGAGTAAAGTTTTAAACACGTGAACATGTTGGAATCCTCTCCATCCTTTGTTTTGTGAGTTTCTTCACAAAGCCTTGGAGATACGTATACCCTTGGTGACTTCATTCACTCATTTCACATATCCTACTTCTATTATCTAACTCTGGTATCCATTCCTTTCCATAAGGCAGTGAACTTTTCTACTAGTTAATATCCCCATTCAAAAAATCTGTCCTCTCTGAACCTTGATTTCATCATTATAAAGTGAGGGTATGGGGGAAATTGTGGAAATTATGTTTAAGTGAATAACTATGTATTTTCTAGAGGATATCACCCCAGATTATCTAATTTTGATTCCATGGGAACCATCTTACAACTCTGTAAGTTGTAAATAATTGAAAGCAATACAAAATATTTCTTGTCGGTAGACATACGCATTTTTTTCCAGTTAAGTAGAAGTTTGATTGACTTCCTTTACCACATTATTCAAAGAAATATTTTGCTTTCATTTGTACATTCATTTTAATATTTCTGATCTACAAGTGGGTTTGTCCTTTGGACTGTTTTTGAATCAGCTGTAACCTCTGTCTGGTTCCCTCTTTGATTAATAAATAAAGTCTTAAGCATGTGTTTATTTTTATATCTGTAAAATAGTCATGATTTAATCTTTTCAAAAATTATTTTTAACAAGATTAAAAACACTACCTATCTCAGGTAAACTAAAGTTTTGATGAAGTAGTGTTTATAAAGCTTACCATGCATTAAGCACTCAATGAATGTTATCAATTATTATTTCAAAAGAGAAGTTTGATAATTTTTCAACCAATTATTTTTACATTTTTATATACCTTCAAATAAAAGATCCCACGTTGGAGTTGCTAACTATAGATATCTGGACACAATGGACCTTCCCTTAAAATTATTAATAATGTTGACTCCTAGTCTGGCAAACTTAGGTTCAACAGCCCGCGTCTTGCGTTATGCTGTCTTAATGAAGCTTATTCCCAAATGGGCATGCTCCTAATTATACATGCAATCAAAATATAGGACCAAAAAACTTTACAACTGGCAACAATAAGGAATCTGTGTAAAAAGTGGAAGTAATTATGTCTACAACATAAAGATGTGCCACCAACACCAAATAGAAAATGTTAATTCTCTGACTTCTGGCAGATCCATATTATATTGTTCCAAGATACAATGAACTAACTGAAGCCCCCAACAATAATGATACGGTCAAATTTTAATTCATAAGGTGACACCTATAAAGATGTTCACAGACATTTGTTTTAACTTGTGACCAAGTGTTGATCTTTGTCCTACTGACAGAGATTCCTTCAGAGGACCAGTGGGAAGTCAAATTATTTGAAAGATGTTATCACTATTTTTACATAATAAAATAACCAGGTATTGTAATGAATGATTATTTTTCCTGCCACTGATATGATATAAAAGCTGTATTTCATCCTATTTCCCTAAGTGTGAATATTTTCAGTGTTTGAATTTCTAATTTCTTGTTTATTGAAGACTCCATTATTACTTTTTAAAGTTCCCAGTAACATCTACCAAAAAAAAAAAAAAACTTTAAGATTAATGATTGATGAAATGCTTCATGTTTAAGGTTCTAAATTACCAAAAGTCCAAAGAAATGTTGCATTTTTTTTACTTTCTTTCACTCTTCAACAAACATATTCTATCTCCAAAATACCTTACATTTTAATGTTATTGATGTGAAACTTTTTCTACTAACATGATCTGCTTATCAGTGACTATGTCTGACCTGTATAAGGAAATCTATTTCTAGTTTGTCAATTTAGGTATTTTGGTCATAGCACCTATATATCACATATCCTACTTCCAACAGATGGAATTGCCACATGTTTAATTCAACTGAGTGTTTGAAATGTCACAAATACAATTACTCTAATCCTACTAAATCAAACGCACTATCCACATTCCATTGATTGCCTTTGTAACTAGTCATTATTATGGCCTAAAATGGTCAATTGAGAAAATAATCAATTCAAACATACCATGAAGACCATTGCCAGAACAGGTATTCTGAAACCAAGGTTAGCCTAGCAAAATATAGTATAGTTGGAAATATCAAAGAGTTGCAGCCACTAAGTCAAGGTTTTTATGTTAGTCTGTTCTAGCATTGCTATAAAGAAATACCAGGCCAGATGCGGTCGCTCACGCCTGTAATCCCAACTGTTTGGGAGGCCGAGGCAGGTGAATCATCTGAGGTCAGGAGTTCAAGACGAGCCTGGCTAACACGGCAAAACCTCCATGTCTACTAAAAATAGCAAATCAGCCAGGCGCAGTGGCAGGCACCTGTAATCCCAGCTTTCACTCGCGTCCGTCCGTGTGAAGAGACCATCAAACAGGCTTTGAGTGAGCAATGAGGCTCTTTATTTCACCTGGGTGCAGGCGGGCTGAGTCCGAAAAGGGAGTCAGTGAAGGGAGATAGGGGTGGGGCTGTTTTATCTGATTTGGGTAGGTAAAGGAAAATTACAGTCAAAGGGGGTTGTTCTCTGGCGGGCAGGCGTGGGGGTCACAAGGTGCTCAGGGGGGGAGCTTTTTGAGCCAGGCTGAGCAAGGAGAAGGAATTTCACAAGGTAATGTCATCAGTTAAGGCAGGAACAGGCCATTTTCACTTCTTTTGTGGTGTAATGTCATCAGTTAAGGCAGGAACAGGCCATCTGGATGTATACATGTGGGTCACAGGGGATATGATGGCTTATGTTGGGCTCAGAGGCCTGACACCAGCTACTTGGGAGGCTGAGGCAGGAGAATCGCTTAAACGCGGGAGGTGGAGGTTGTGGTGAGCTGAGATAGCGCCATTGCACTTCAGCCTGGGCAAAAGAGTGAGACTCCATCTCAAAAAAAAAAAAAAAAAGAAAGAAAGAAAGAAAATGTAGGGGTGGGTTGCCCCTCCACACCTGTGGGTGTTTCTCGTAAGGTGGAACGAGAGACTTAGGAAAGAAAAAGGCACAGAGACAAAGTATAGAGAAAGAAATAAGGGGACCCGGGGAACAAGCGTTCAGCATATGGAGGATCCCGCCAGCCTCTGAGTTCCCTTAGTATTTATTCATCATTTGTGGGTGTTTCTCAAAGAGGGGGATGTGTCAGGGTCACAAGACAATTGTGGGGAGAGGGTCAGCAGACAAACACGTGAACAAAGGTCTTTGCATCATAGACAATGTAAAGGATTAAGTGCTGTGCTTTTAGATATGCATACACATAAACATCTCAATGCTTTACAAAGCAGTATTGCTGCCCGCAGTTCCCACCTCCAGCCCTAAGGCGGTTTTTCCCTATCTCAGTAGATGGAGCATACAATCGGGTTTTATACCGAGACATTCCATTGCCCAGGGACGGGCAGGAGACAGATGCCTTCCTCTTGTCTCAACTGCAAGAGGCATTCCTTCCTCTTTTACTAATCCTCCTCAGCACAGACCCTTTACGGGTGTCGGGCTGGGGGACGGTCAGGTCTTTCCCTTCCCACGAGGCCATATTTCAGACTATCACATGGGGAGAAGCCTTGGACAATACCTGGCTTTCCTAGGCAGAGGTCCCTGCGGCCTTCCGCAGTTTTTGTGTCCCTGGGTACTTGAGATTAGGGAGTGGTGATGACTCTTAAGGAGCATGCTGCCTTCAAGCATCTGTTTAACAAAGCACATCTTGCACCGCCCTTAATCCATTTAACTCTGAGTTGACACAGCACATGTTTCAGAGAGCACGGGGTTGGGGGTAAGGTCACAGAATCTCAAGGCAGAAGAATTTTTCTTAGTACATAACAAAATGGAGTCTCCTATGTCTACTTCTTTCTACACAGACACAGTAACAATCTGATCTCTCTTGCTTTTCCCCACAGAAAAGAAAAGGAAGAAAGAAATACCAGAGACTGAGTAATTTACTTTTTTAAAAAAGAGGTTTAATTAGCTCACGGCTCTGCAAACAATACAGAAAACATGATGCTGGAATCTGCTTGGCTTCTGGGGAAGGGTAGGTAGGGTGGTGGGATGGTAGTGTGCTAGGAGAAGCCTTAGTGAAGGCTAATAGGAATGGTCTTTGCTTTTCCCAAATGACTGATCCAGGGGTTTTGCCATTCTCAGGTGGCGTCATGTTAAGGGACAAAAATCAAATATTATTTTCTTCCACTGTCATCTTCCTCTTGGGGCATTATTTTTCCTGGCCTCACTTTAAATCACTTGTTCATTAGATTGAGCCATTTAGAGATGTTTTAAAAATTTTTAGCCATTTTATATCAAAACATGCCAAAATATCAATACAGGGCATGTCTGGATCTAGCATTTGGTAACACATCATATATTTTTAACATTTTTATTACTTAGTAAGAGGTAAAGATTTGGTTTTGCTCATTAGTCATCTTTTAAAAAATGTTCCATATAGTTATATTGATTTTTTTTATGAGAAATAACTCTTTCAACGTTCCTTAATGGGGAATATTTTAGGAAATTCCATGCCATAGCATCATATAAATTGTTTGTAAAATTGCACCATTTCAAGGTTTGCTCTAAAAGGAAGAAAAACGCAGTAGTAAAGGCTTTGATAAAGATTAAATAACTGAATTCATTAAAATCAGCTTTTTACCTCATTATGAAGTTTGCCTTTTTCCAAAATACGGTGAGATCTATTATATACCTAATAAATGTTCAGAGCTGAGCTAAAGGCCCTGAAGTTAACGGTTCAGAAAAGCCTGCAAAGATCCTTAATATGTATCTCCCTTCCATCTACCTTCTTCTAATCATTCACTGCTCAAAAACTATTTCATTAATAATTACTATGAGCCAGGCCTAAGAGTTATAAGTACATCTTCCAAAAACATTTGGATGGTGATTCTCAAAATCATATATCTGAGCTCTATCTCTGCCTTAATTTCTATCAAGAAAACAAAAACAAACAAACAAACAAAAAGCAGGCTGAAAAGAGAAGGCCTGATTTAGCCATATTTATTCACACATTCTTTCACAGCTATGTTGTTGTTGTTGTTTGGTTTGGTTTTTTTTGAGACAGGATCTCACTCTGTCACCAAAACTGGAGTGCAGTGACAGAAACATATAGCTCATTATAACCCCGAACTCCTGGGTTCAAGCAATCCTCCCACTCCAGTCCTAGTACCTGAGACTACAGGCAAGTGCCACTACGTCCAAATAGTTTATTTTATTTTTTGTAGAGATGGGGGTCTCACTATGTTGCCCAGGCTGGTCTCAAACTCCTGGCCTCAAGAGATCCTCCTGCCTCAGCCTTCCAAAGATCTGGGATTACAGGTGTGAGCCACTGCACCCGGCTCACAATCATGATTTTGATTGACTTCTTATATTCCATATTCTTTTTTTTTTTTTTTTTTGAGACGGAGTCTCGCTCTGTCGCCCAGGCTGGAGTGCAGTGGCGCGATATTGACTCACTGCAAGCTCTGCCTCCTGGGTTCACCCCATTCTCCTGCCTCAGCCTCCCAAGTAGCTGGGACTACAGGCGCCCACCACCACGCTAACTTTTTGTATTTTTAGCAGAGACGGTGTTTCACCATGTTAGCCACGATGGTCTTGATCGCCTGACCTCATGATCTGCCCGCCTCGGCCTCCCAAAGTGCTGGTATTACAGGCATGAGCCACCATGCCCGGCCATATTCCATATTCTTAAATGCTGGTAACCTTGTTAAGTATAATGTATTTTTCTCCTTCAAATATTGGTTTATATTTTGAGTGTTGCATGCATAGTGTTTGCTTTTATCTTAAGCAATTTTTCTTTTGCCGAAGAAGTAGATCAGCTCCACTATGGTAGAAAATAGATAAATAGCTAGATAGTTGATCATTAGAGATAGAGATAGAAAAATATAACATGTTTTTATTTATGAGAAGCTCCAGTCTAATAATGTATGAAATCGAAACACATGAATTCCAACATAAGTAACATAGACTCCCATTAGTTCTAAATAAATTGGTCTTCTGAAAGTATTAAAGTTTCCATATTACTTAACTCTTCCAATAATAATATGTTAATCAAATAAATTAAATTAGCAATATTTTGGTAACTGATTTCCATAAACCATAAAAACACTTCTGGGTTTTAAAAAAAACAAACAAAAACTACAACAACAAAAAAACCTCATAGGGAGAAGCAAGCATCTCCTTTATATTTTTAGTTGTGCTAAACATCCTAGAACAGTGACAATGTCTCTGCCTTTGCCCAATATGGATTTACTAACAGGCAAAAATCCTGTATGGATTTACTCTGAAGACTATAAGACTCTGGGTCCCATGCAAGTCTGCTCTTCCAAGTCTGGTTCAAATCGTCTGCTCTTACCATATTCTGCTTTTTTTTTTTTTTTTTTTTTTTAGTGTATGTGTAAATGCCATTTATTTATTTATTTGTTTGTTTGTTTATTGGAAAGCATTTTACTCTGTTGCCCAGGTTAGAGTTCAGTGGCACGAAGATTACTCACTGCAGCCTCAACCTCTTGGGGTCAAGCCATCCTTCCTGTGCAGTCTCCCAAGTAATTGGGACCACAGGCACGCGCCACCACGCCTGGCTAATTTTTGTATTTTTTGTAGAGATGGGGGTCTCATCATGTTGCCCAGGCTGGTCTCAAACTCCTGGGCTCAAGCAATCTTCCCACTTTGGCCTCCCAAAGTGCTGAGATTACAGATATGAGCCACTACAATAGGACTATTCTGTTCTTTTCATAGATATTTTGGGATTAATGTAACCTTCAGTTTTTATCATTTGTCACTGACTGTAGGTCATTTACATTTAAAATGTGTCTACATTGCCTCTAACAGGCCCTGACTACCACATTTTTGATGCTGAATTGTAGAAAATGGCTTAAACAATAACTCAGTATGTCTGATCTTAACATAATCAGACGAGATCGGGCGCGTTCAGGGTGGTATGGCCGTAGACCATAACCAGAACTTTGTTGGATCACAGGTGGTTATATTTGCCTGCAGCTCAATTGGTCTGAATACAATGTAATATTGTATATTCATAAGAATGCAAGTAGTGGTAACTGCATTTTCAGTGAAGTTTAATAAATGTTTTATAGTTTACATAGTACATAATACATGTTATTTGCTGCAAGTAAATAGCTAATAAGGTTTTATCTAACAGGTGTTTTAGAAAAAGATAACCCAAAACATAATTCCTCTCTCATAATAAAAGGATGAACATGCTCTTGTGTGTGTGTATGGTTTATCGAACTGAACTTCTGTAAGTAAAATGTTAGACCTAGAAAATGTGCATTGTGGTGTATTCCCAGTTTTTGCATGTTTGGTTGCAAGTGTTTGAACTTCCAACTTATGTGAAATCAAAAGTAAACTGAGATTCAGGCGAATTGTAATTTTATCTCTGAGATTTCCTGATAAGGTAGTACGTGGAAGATAATCGAGTAATGATTGAAAGACTCAGGATGGGTGGAAAACAAGGGCGGGGATGGCAAAGCCATGGTATACCAATCATCATTAGACCTTCTCTTTCCTTGTAATCAGAACCACCACTCAAAGTCCTTTATAAAATGCCTGCAGGTAGTCTCTACCAACTGACCAAATGTGGCACTCAAAATGAAACCTATTTGCCACCCTGCCTAATTGCATTTGATGACATACTTATTCCACAAAAGACTGGAGGATCAGAAGAGGAAAGGTCGTGTTATCAAGAGACATAAACAGGCCAGGTGCTGTGGCTCATGCCTGTAATTCCAACAATTTAGTAGGCCAAGGTGGGCAGATGGCTTGAGCTCAGGAATTCGAGACTAGCCTGGGCAACATGGCAAAACCCCGTCTACAAAATATACAAAAGTTGGTGAGGTGTAGTGGCGCACACCTGTAGTCCCAGCTACTCAGGAGGCTGAGATGCCAGGAATGATTGCTCCCAGGAGTTCGAGGCTGCAGTGAGCTACTATTGCACCACTGCCCTCCAGCCCAGAGCAAGACCCTGTCTAAAAAAGAAAAAAAAAAAAAAAACAGAAAAAAAGAAAAGTGAACAATGTTGTGTCTTCCATCCCACTTTTGGGGACTTACATTTTTGGAGGCCAGCATTTTATTTATTTATTTATTTTGAGATGGAGTTTTGCTCTTGTTGCCCTGGCTGAAGTGCAATGGCATGATCTCGGCTCAACGCAACCTCTGCCTCCCAAGTTCAAGCGATTCTCTTGCCTCAGCCTCCCAAGTAGCTGGGATTACAGGCATGAGCCACCATGTCCGGCTAATTTTGTATTTTTAGTAGAGACGGGGTTTCTCCATGTTGGTCAGGCTGGTCTTGAACTCCCAACCTCAGGTGATCCGCCCACCTCTGCCTCCCAAAGTGCTGGGATTACAGGCATGAGCCACTGCGCCCTGCAAGGCTGGCATTTTAAAGGCCTAGAGAAGTCCTGCAATAAGGAAGCTTGTTTTCCTTAGTTAACCCAGCATTTCTCATTTATTTTAAAAAATAAAAGAAAATCCTTAAAACGTACTTTGCACAACACTTAGAATCTCCTATCCTACTCATTTGAGGCCAGTCTGTACACACAGCCCCTCTGTGGGGTTGTTTTAGAATGAGAATACCACGGTATGCTCTTTTCCTCCCACATTCAACAAGCAGTTCCCTAGAACTCCCAAAGTCCTCCTGAGATTTTCGCATACAAAAGCAAATGTCTAGAAGCTGAGCAGCAGCTGGCGGGCACTACACAGCAGCAGCCATACAGCCTCAGCTGATTGACTTCCTGCCCTGTGAGTACAGAGGGGCTCTTTGTGCTGAGTTGTTACATACATGGCATATATTTTACTTACTCTGAATATTTAAGTGGCTCTGTTTGTTTTTGAATTGTCAATCAAATATGTTAAAATTATATTCAAATATGCCAAAGCCATAATAATCTAAATGAAATCAGATAAATTGCAAGTTGAATAAGTGAAAATTAAAAAATAATTAAATCATACTTTTCTGCCTGTTAAAGATCTCAAAGTTCTAATCCTCTCTTTGTACAGGTAAGACAATGAAGGACCAAAGAAATGAAATAACTGTCCAAAGAAATTGATTTCATTGTTTTTAAGGACCAAGAATAATGCAAACTTGATGACGACAAATTATTAGCACATAGAAAGAGTTTTCAATACATTAAATATTAGATTAAAGGGGCATTGACTTTGGCAAAAATCTTAAAATGATTGCTTATATGGGTTAAACAACTCTCCTTAAAATATATTTATTCTAATTACATCTTATCACTGCATTCTCTTTATCTCTCTCCCTAAGAGAGATACATACATATATAGGTATGTAAAATCTAGGTACATATATACCTATAAAGACAGGCCTTTGGATGTTCAGCACCTTAATTTCTTTTCATATAACCTATCCTATTCGTCTCTCATGGAATACATATGTTCACCCAGATGATGGGTATGCTTTATGATAATAGAATTATAGAATGATTAGATAGATAGAGTTGTCAATTATAAATAATAATGCTCAGGAATTATTTAAACCTTTCTTAAATTTCAGCCGTTACATGGGTTCTTGCTTTTATAATTTTCACACAGTTATAAAATCCCCAGTATTGCCTGTGAAAATATCAAGGCTGTGACCTCATTGCAACAGTAACACAGAAGCTAAAACAGCAGGTTGCAAAGCAAACCTTATCTTTAGTTTTTACACATTTCATTCAAACCTATGGTGGTTCTGGGTTGGAGAGTGAAAAGGCATCAGAAGGTCAGGTTTTCAAGGATCAAACTTTCTATTGTTCTTTGAATCAGAGATTGTATGTGAGCGTAGAGCTTTGCATAAGAATTAGTCCTCTTCCTTGTACCAAGTCAGCTATTTTCAGCTCAGCCTAGCAATTTTCGATTTCTTGGTTTGTAACTATGGCAATAAGATTAAATGGCATTCAGTAAAATTCATTTTACAAATTAGCTTGGGAGGGCGTCCATGACTGTGATGAAGGAGCAATACGGAAATACTAGGAATCGAGAGGGAAATTAAATCGGGTTTTGTAATATTCTTCAAAATAATCCTCAAAATCATCTACTGCCAGATGGCAGTTTGTGAGTGATGTATAGTGACTTGAAATAAAAACAAACAGATAATGGCTCGATAAATTCCTTGGCTCTGCATAAGCCACCACACCTCTCCACTTGCCTCCCGCCATCATACAGTGTCCTTTGTCTGGGAGTGCCTGAGTGTCTGTAGCCTTGCCAGAGCCTTTGATCTGGGAGTTTTTATACTAAATAACAGTCAAATCAATTTCAAACCCCTTCATTACAGTACACAGCTCATTATGTTCTAGAGAAATGTTTAGCTCCAAGCTCCAGGCCACATTATAATGAGTACAGGAGTACACACTAGTGTATACACACTCTACAGTACCGCTCCATATTTCCAGGCGATGGGGAGATCACCACAGGTCTAAGTAAAAAGCAAGCATTCGTTTGCGGCCTTTAAAGGTGGTTTCCTGAAGTTTTAAACCATTTGCCATAAAACATAGTTTTAATCTTGTTACGCTGTAAATGTTTTTCTTTTTCATCTACAGCCTTTTTCAAAAGAAAAATGCATATGCAGACATAGGAAAGAAGGAGGTAGATAAATATTTTTTTCAAATTCTTAATGAGTGAATGTGTGTGTGTGTGTGTGTGTGTGTGTGTGTGTAGACAACTTCTTTTAAATAACAGATATAAAAGAATTACTTTTGGGGCGGATTTCCATTATTCCCGTTGTTGGTTTAGGCAGAAACTCAAGAGCCTCATTAAGGCAATAGTTTTATTTATACTTGATTTGCCCTTCTTACTTTGGGAAGGCAGGAAAATGAACAGAACCTCTCATCATCCCATTCTGCTCTCTAATCTTTTTGCTCTTTCAATGTCCAAGTGACCATCCATGAAATTTTTGACATTACACTTGAAATAAATGTGACACAATGTTGGCTGCCAGTGTTTTTTTCTCTCTGATTTAATTATAAATTCTTGCTAAAAGCCAGTAACAGGGAAATTACTTCACTGGACACGTAAGACATTATCAAAATTACTTCTGTTTCTCTGTTATTAGAAATATAAGCTAGTGGAGTAGAAATCCTTTTTGCTGTCACAATTGATTATCATAAACTAATTGTTTATAACTCTAGATGGAAACAAGTGCACACTGGCATATAAATAATCATAACTTGTTCTTCTTGCCATCAAGGCATAGCCTGTTTGGTATCTGAGAAAACACTAGTGTAGCAGAGGAATTGCAAAGCTTTTTTTTTTTTTTAATGAAAGCATTGTTACAAAGATAAAACAGATTTTTTTATGTCACATAAGAGAGTGATAACAATTTTCATGTTGACCTTGAAACTCTACTTGAGAACAGCATTCAGGAGTATTTTTAGTTAGCCATGAATATCTTAGAGGTATCTCTGGGAAGAAAATACTCCTTATGTAAAAGAAGCATTTGAACCATCAGTTATAATGCAGTATGACAGTCAAGGTCTGGCACAAGGGCCTAGATTACTAAAAGCAGTGCACTATCTGCGTAATCCAGGGTCGGCAAATGGAGATGAAACAGGCCAAACAAAAATCTGAAATCAAGACTTTTCCTTCAGTTCATGTCATTAGAAGCCTTGGTTTCAAGTGGCAGAGTTGATATTGTCTGGAGAACAGAGAAAGTTCACCACTCATTAAGGATGCTGCTCCAAATTGGTCTATGCAGATTAGCTGGACCCATGACTTATTCTCAAATGTTGAAATTCAATACAAAATGCCAACTAACATCCACAGTAGGAAAGAATTAGAAGGTTCATGAAACATCCTTTTCATTAAGTAAATAAAGAAAGAAAGAAATTCAGAATTATGGACAAATTTTGTCTTAGAAACAGATTTATCTTATAAAGTTATCTAGTATGTTTATAAGATAAGGATTTGCCTATAGAATAACAATTGAGTCACTAAAATTCATTTCATACCTGACATTTTCAGGTAGGCATAAATGAAGAATACATATACGGCAATTTCAAAGACTAAATGTTACTTCGTTTAAATTGGCTATTTTATGCCTCAGCCTAAATGTTTTTAGGAATGAAGAATTGAATTGCTTTGAATCAGTATAAAATAAAAGAGGTATTGAAATGCACATGTGGACTTTTTTTTTAAACAGGCATTAATGGTCTATAATCAGAACAAATCATTAAATAACAAAGCAGTAAGGAAGGTGAATTTTTAAAAGAAAAGAAAGAAAAATTAGTACTGTAGAACACATATACACAGAAAGCTAGATAAGTAAAGATTCCTCTGTAATTACTGAATATTATTATGAATCAAATAAGAAATTAGTATTCCTGCTTCATTAGCTGGTAGCATCTGCTCATTAGACAACAGAAATGTTTGTAGTTTGGAAAGAAAAAGTAGGCTTTCTAAATAAGTATCAAAATGACCCACCTGTTACATTTCTAACCTTTTACATAGCTTTAGAATTCTATAAGCAGGAGAAAATTGCAAATAAGTCTTACCCTGGTACATTGCTGGTGAGAATGTAAAATGGTACAACCACTTTGGAAAACAGCTTGGGGCTTCCTAAAAATATTTAACATAGTGTTAAACACACAACCTTGCAATCCCACTATTAGGTCAATACCAAAGAGAAATGAAAATATATGTCCACACAAAAGTTTATACACGAATATTCACAACATCATTATTCATAAGTGTCAAAAAGTGGGAACAACCCAAATGTCAATCAAAAGATGAAAGGGTACATAAAATGTGTTATAGTCACACAATGGAATAGTATTTGGCAATACAAAGAAATGAAGTGCTGCTACAGCCTGGATGAACCTTGAAAACATTATTCTGTGTGAAAGAAACCAGTCATAAAAGATCACATTTAAGCTGGAAACCATCATTCTTAGCAAACTATCTAAAGGACAAAAAACCAAACACCGCATGTTCTCACTCATAGGTGGGAACTGAACAATGAGAACACATGGACACAGGAAGGGGAACATCACACACCGGGGCCTGTTGTGCGGTGGGGGGAGGGGGGAGGGATAGCATTAGGAGATATACCTAATGTTAAATGACGAGTTAATGGGTGCAGCACACCAACATGGCACATGTATACATATGTAACTAACCTGCACGTGTGCACATGTACCTTAAAACTTAAAGTATAATAAAAAAAATAAAGAAATAAAAAACATGAGAAAAACAAAACAAACAAACAAATCACATTATTGCATGCTTCTGTATGAAAGATCCAATAGACAAATCTCTAGAGACAGAAGGTAGATTCGTGGCTGCTTAGGGCTGGTGGTGGAGTGGGGAGAATGGGGAGTGTCAGCAAATGGGTACTGGGCTTCCTTTTGGATTGATGAAAATGTTATAAAATTGATTATGGTAATGGTTGAACAAATCTATAAATATACTAAAAACCACTGGGTCCATTGAGTCCCATACTTTAAACAGATGAATTTTATGGTATGTAAATTATATCTCATTAAAGTTGTTTTTTTAAAAAAGGCATATTTCAACCAGCTCAGGAATAGGATGCTCAAGTTAGCCAGGAAGCTGGTGCTGAAAAGAAGCAAGAAGATTCAAATAAAAGCCTGATTTTCATCCCTGGTTGTTTTCCTCTCTTAACTATTTCTTTTGTTAGCAATAGAGCTGGTTAGCCTACATATTCTCTCTTTCTCTCTCTCTCTTTAAGTTGGAAAAAAATACTCAGACGAAAACCCATGGTTTACTGGGATAGGGAATATCAATAGCTGGTGAAAATGTGGGCTGTTCTTCATCTTTTAATTTGTGAATGTCCTGACTGTGTCGCACAAAGCCCACCTCTGATGGAAGGGGAAGGTCTACTTGTAACAGGAGCCTGTGGATAAGGTTTACTCTCCCTTCTGTTCTGAACAAGGAGAACAATGCACAAACTGAGTCATTACATAGCTGACAACAGAGCAGATCAGAAAGAGCCAATGTTTATCTGTGGCTGAGAAAACTCAACCATAGTTCTTTTTACCTAAGCAATTTTAAACCCCTTTTGACTTTTTTAATCAGTAAGAAAGGAAGCTCTCCTGTTAAATTGAGAGAGCAACATTCCTAGTATGACTGAATACCACATGGTCAGAATTTCCACCTGTCCTTGAAAAAAGATAGGCGTAATCTGCTCCTGGCTGCAGTGGGAAAGAAGTTTTTTTGTTGTACTGTGTTGTTGTTGTGTGTGTCTGTGTGTTTTTTGTTTTTTTTTTTTTTAATTCTTCCCTCATGGGACAAACCTCATCCATTCCATTCATAGAAAAGGTTTCCCAGGAAACTTCCTTTCAGAGCTAGGAGATGGATAGAGAGATGCAAACTGAGACCTTAGGGGAATGTTAATGAAGAGCATGAATGTCTCTGCCTTGTTGTGGGACTTGCGCATTGACAATGGCCAGGAATATCACTTAACAGGAGTGAAGACTGTTTCCTTGGAATTCCACAGTATGGGCGACTTGACTAGAAGAGCTGAACATTGCTTTATCATTTGGGCCAAGAAATGTCTGTTCTTACCTGTGAATATGGAGATTTCAGTCTATCTCTTCCCACTCTTTTTGCCTGAGAGTCATATGAATCTTGATTCTCTCTTTCCAACTAACCTACAGTAAAGGGAATTCCACCACTCCTCTTCTGTACTCACCCTGCCTACCCACTTCTAAGTGTTTTGATGCCTGGTTTAAAAAATTAAGGTCAGATATCAAATAGTCATTGTCATCTGGTTCATTAAGGATTAATTTCATTAACACACAGGTATTTTTACTTGCTGTGAAATTCTGATTATAATTGATATTTAGGGTTCTCTTTTTCCCTGAAGAAAAAGAAGACTTCTAAGATGTCTGAAAAATCTAGACAATATTTTTATCAATATTTTATAATACTGAATGATAATAATAATAATAATATTTTACATTTGGGTAGCCATTCACAAAGCACCCTCATATCCTTGTCTCATTGGAGACCACCAACAGTTATTATAGGTCCAAAGATGTAGTTGTTTTATATATAAAGAAGGAGTCTAGAGAAAGCAAAATGTTCATCTAAAGACCCAAAAGCAGTAACAGGAAAAGCCAAGACTGTAACCCATGTCTCTAAAACCAATCTGCCTCGTGCAGTGAATAAACATCAAACCTAATCCTCCCCTAAATGAAGCCTTGTGTCCGTCTCTCAAGGGTAAAATCAGCCCTGTGTTAGACAAAAACTACATCAACAATTTAGTAAATAAGATTTGTTCATTTGTAAAGTTGTCAAGAATAAGTGTTGGAATTAAGAAAGAATAAAAACAAGATGTTCACCAAGGGCTAGAGGGTCACCTGTAAAGAAGGCTCATTAGGCTGGTTTCTCTGTCCATGGTCAGACACGTGATCAAGGCGCACAGATAAAATATACGGCGTCTCCCATAAAGCCTCCATAATTCTGCAGCCAGAAGTAATGTCTCCTCCCATGAACTCTACATGTCCTTTCCTTATTTGACATTCTGCTGATCATTCCAAAGGAAAGTTGCACGTTATCTTGGAAAGAACACTGGATTTGGAGGAAGAGAAATAGAGTTTCAGCTCTGATTTTGGGCAAGTCACTTAACCTTGCTGAATTTCTGAAAGATAGATATAACAGGGTTGTTATAAGGCTTAAATTAGCTAATACTTTCAAAACAGTTGGCAAACAGTAAGTAATTAATAAATGTTAACTATTATTTGTATTAATCTAACATACTCATTTTATAAACAACAAACAGCCATGGACAAAAGAAAAGGCTTACACAAAGGCAAAATTATATAAATAATAATAATACCCAACTAGCAGGACTATTGTGAGGGTTAAGTGTACGTGACTTGTGCCTTACAAAATGAAAGTAATTTGTGTACACAGGCTAATATACCATTTGGATTGAATGACCTTGAAGGTAAGAGCAGTATCTCTTATTTTGTCCTTTGCCCAGAGCCTTGAAGAGAACTTTTACAGAGTCAGTGCTAAATAAGCATTAACTGAATTAATTCCACATACATCAGGACATCAGACATTTTATCCCAAGGTTATAGATGATCTAATTTATTAATTTTTTAAAATCAGTCCTTCTGCAGATTCAACTTGTATCTACTTTTTCATTATAATATCAACAAAACACCATTGATTCTTGATTTGGTAACCTGACTGCTCTGCCCTCTGGTGTAGAAAACCCTTGGACCAATTAGAGCACTTGAGCTGCTAAGAAAATTGTTTTTCTGCTGAGCGCGGTGGCTCATACTTGTAATCCCAGCATTTTGGGAGGCCAAGGCAGGCGGATCACCAGGTCAGAAGTTCAAGAGCAGCCTGGCCAACACCATGAAACCCTGTCTTTACTAAACGGAAAAAATTGGCATGGTGTTGGGTGCCTGTAATCCTAGCTACATGGGAGGCTGAGACAGGAGAACAGCTTGAACCCATGAGGCAGAGGTTGCAGTCAGCCAAGATCATGCCACTGTACTCTAGCCTGGGCAACAGAGCTAGACTCCATCTCAAAAAAAAAAGAAAGAAAGAAAGAAAGAAAATTGTTTTTCTACTATCAGTTGGGTCTAACCATCTAATAATCAAGCATTAGATGATCAAAATCAGAGCTGAAACTCTAGTTCTCTTCCTCCAAATCCAGTAGTATGAGTTTCTTTTTCCAGAAGTTCATTTCCATCAAGAGTAGGTGGCCAAAGCTAGGACAAGGTGAAACTCCTTAGCCATAAATACCATTCTGAATTACAGGTCTTCTATGCTTGCAACATATCAATTTCTTCCAAAATCCACGGCTCGCCTCCTTTATTTGTTTGCTAGCCCACACATTTTACCTGTTTTCCAGTTGACCTTGCTAGGAAAAGGGGATGTGCAGGCTCTAGTGGGTTCCTCAGAAGGTCTCCAGTACACATTTGCTCAGAAAATTCTTTGCTGGTGATAGTCTATTAGGGGAGAGACAAAAACAGAAAGGCTTGGGAAATGTAACAGGTGTTTTGCTTCTTGAGATGAGTTCTGACAGTAGCATCAAAAGCCATGGTCTAAAGGTGTGGGTGAGCTGATATTGCTCTTTCTTTCCTTTAAGCTGATATTGCTTGTTCCCTTTTGCATATTTGGATAAAGATGAAAATTTATCTTAAAACTCCTTTGAAAGTCATAATTTTGTCCAGGAGTAAAGTCAACTCCAGGATACCTATACTGAGTATTCTAGACATTTCAGACTCAATGTTCTTTGTGGTTGAGAACGCAATTTTAGATTTTTACTGCATCATAGTTTTTCATCATCGGAGCTGTCTCAGCATCTTGAATCAATGGTCTTTCACAATTTAAACAATGGATCCAACACCTTAGAAAGTTCAATTAGAATTTGGATACCTATGCTGGGCACGGTGGCTCATGCCTGTAATCCCAGCACTTTGGGAGGCCGAGGCGGGTGGATCACCTGAGGTCGGGAGTTCAAGACAGCCAACATAGAGAAACCCCGTCTCTACTAAAAATACAAAATTAGCCGGGGTGGTGGTATATGCCTGTAATCCCAGCTACTCAGGAGGCTGAGGCAGGAGAATTGCTTGAACCTGGGAGGCGGAGGTTGTGGTGAGCCGATATCGCGTCATTGCACTCCAGCCTGGGCAAAAAGAGTGAAATTCCGTCTCAAAAAAAAATAAAATAAATAATTTGGATACTTATGAATAAACTGGGAGCATGACTTTGAGTTACTGGAAGAAGTTAGAAACATTAATCCAATTTTCTGATTAGGAAAAAAAAAAGCACTATTTCCTAAGTTTCATACTCTAGTCTCTCTTAAAAATGATTCTAGGAGCACAATGCCAAATTATGGGCATCCAAGGACACTCTGGCTAGACAAAAAGGAAGAAAACTAGGTGAGCAATGAACCTTATTAGCATGTGTCCTCTCAGGCTGATGACTGTCATTAGGCTGCTGGAGAATGACATCATTTTCTCTAAGAGGCAGTCAGCTCGAAAATGTCAACTATCTCCATGAATTAATTCTTGCAGCTGCTTTATGTTGCCTTCTGCTCCTTGCCAAAAGAAATGGACGTATTTCATTTCTCGGATCTGTCAGACATGTTGCTGTTTTAAATACTGCATTTTAAGGCCAGTCCAATCTGAACATTCTTTGTTTTGGGAAGCCTGTTGAAAAAAACATTGACTTCAATAAAGTAAAAGTTCAAGGTGCAAAACTCTGTAATCCCTTTTTTGGCACAAATTGCTTTCATTTTGTAATGTCATTATAATGTCATTTTTTTTCCCAAAGACTTCTATAGTATGAAGTTGTAGGAACACTTATACTACCCTGGTGTTGCTATAAAATAGTGATAGAAGGAAGTAAAGATAGGAGTACAGAGAAGAGTGGTGGATTTGAGGGGACAGTTATAACTGCAAACAACACTTAGTCAAAAGTTCTTGCCTCTCAGTATAGTTCTTTTTCACTTCATCAGACACATAAGAAAAAAAAGGGTCATTTGTTAATTTATTCAATGATCATTATTGCATGTCTGTATTTGTGCACATTCTGTGCTGGGCACTAGGAAAGCAAAATGAATTAGATACTTACCACCTGTAAGAGAGCCCCAAGTTTAGTGGGGGAGAGAGACATGTCAAGGGAAATATTAAATTAGCTTGAAAATTCCACTGGGTGCGGTGGCTCATGCCTGTGATCCCAGCACTTTGGGAGGCATAGGTGGGCGGATCACAAGGTCAGGAGTTAGAGACCATCCTGCCTAAAACAGTGAAACCCCGTATCTACTAAAAATACAAGAAAAAATTAGCCGGGCGTGGTGGTGGGCACCTGTAGTCCCAGCTACTCGGGAGGCTGAGGCAGGAGAATGACGTGAACCTGGGAGGCGGAGCTTGCAGTGAGCCAAGATCACCACACTGCACTCCAGCCTGGGTGACAGAGCAAGACTCCATCTCAAAAAAAAAAAAAAAAAGAAAGAAAAAGAAAATTCCATGAGAGAAAGAGACTCAGATATTTCTGAGATGAATTTTTAAAAAAGATTATATGTGTTTACATACACACCCACACAATCCTGCATGTAGAAGTGAGTGAGAGAAGATGGAAAAGAAAGGCAGAAAGCCGTCTCAAAAAAAAAATAACTACAAGCTGGGCGCAATGGCTCATACTTGTAATCCCAGAACTTTGGAAGGCTGAGACAGGAGGACGGCTTGAGCCTAAGAGCTTGAGACTAGCCTCAGCAACATAGTGAGACGTCGTCTCTATTAAAAATTTAAAAATTAGCCGAGTGTGGTGGTGCACGCCTCTAGTCCCAGTTACTCAGGATGTTGAGGTGGGAGGATCTCTTGAGCCCAGGAGTTTGAGGCTGTAGTGAGCTATGATCACACCATTGCACTCCAGCCTGGGCAACAGAGCAAGACACTCTCTCAAATAAATAAGTAAGTAAATACATACGTATCAGGAATAACTTTCATAGGTGACTAAAGCACTGGCCGTGATATTAGAAGCACTAGAAGGAGCTCGGCAATTCCTTGAAATAGACTTCTTGTCTTCTGTCTAATGTCTAGAATACTTTAAACTGAAAACAAACACAGTACTTTAAGCCTACTGCTAGACTTGAAAACTGGGAGATGTAAACCATTGATCTAAATAAACACAAAGATGTGTAATGGACAGATACTACATTGTCTTTCTGACAGTAAGTTTGAGGGGAGGTGATTGTATTATAAAAGCATAATGCCTAAGTGATAGGAAATAAGCAAAACTGAGGGCTAGAAAAAGAATGTGCTTCCTTTCATGTTTTTATTTTAAATTGAGTTTTAATTTACATGCAGTGAAATGCACAGATCTTAAATGTTACAGTTTGATGTTTTCCCGAGTGCAAACACTCATATAGCACACACTGCTGTCAAGTCACAAAACATTTCCATCATCCCATAGAGCTTCCTCCAGCCCTTTCCAGTCAATCTCCATGGCCCCTCCTGGCCAAAGGCCATCACTGTACTACTGATATTTGTCACCACAGATTAGCATTGCCTATGTCCTTCAATTTTATATAAATACATATATTTCATAGGCATCTTGCTTCTGACATCTTTCATGCAACACAATATATCCATGTCTTCTGAAGACCAGTTGTTGGTTCCCTTTTTTTGTTGAGTAGTATTCCATTGTATGAATATACCATAGCCTGTTTATCCAGATTATGTTGATGGACATCTCGGTTATTTGCAGTTTTCAAACTTGCTATTATGAGCAAAGCTACTGTGAACATTCTTGTACAAGTCTTTTTGTAGATATATGTGTTCATTTCCATTGAGTAAATACCGAAAAGTGGAATTGCTGTGTTATAAGGTAAACATGGATTTAACTTTTTTAGGGGGAATTAATCATGAAAGTAGGAGAATTTTGAAATTCAAATTTGCAGGATGAAACAGAGAAGAAAATAATGGACATGCAGCCCATGGGAGGAGGATGAGTAGAAGGGGATAGAGAAGTGCCTGTAGAATTCAGAAAGGGGAATAGTTAATATGAATCATAAGGTGCAAAGAGGGTTTCTGCTTAACATATAGCTTCTGGGACATTTCCAAAGTCTGCAATATTGTTAGCAGAGTCTACAGAGTCTGAAATAATTACTGGAACTTCCAAAAGTGTTACTAAGCTTTTCAGAAAATGCCATTGTTTCTGGGAAGCCTAAGAACATACAACAATAAAATCCTACCTTTTGTCCAAGTGTCTGTTTCCTGCAGACCTGATTTGGTAGAAAAGGTGTCCAGCTGGACACTGGATGTTGGTCCAACCACTGTCATCAGACACCATTTCTATTGCATCTTGAGAACAGGATCTGAATTAGAACAGGTCTTTCCCTGGTTGGATCCAGGTTCAACCACTTTGATGGTATAAGCCAGCTCTCTGGCCGCCCTTTGCACACTTAGGTCTACACCTAAGAGCTTTGAGGTAAGGGATGTAGATAAGATGGATCAGCTTACTAGCTGAAAGTTCCATTCAAATACTGTCAGTTTTCCTTCTATTTTGCGAAAGCCACCTTTAAGTTTTTAAATTAAATTTTTTCAGTGGGTTAAGATTCATATATATTACCTTTAATCATCAAAAAGGAAAATGAGATCTGAGTACAGTGGGCACACCAGTAGTCCCAGTTACAGGGAAGGCTGAAACAAAAAGATCTCTTGATCCCAGAATTTTAAGGCTGTGCATATAATCACATTGGTGAATAGCCACTGCGCTCCAGCCTGCCCAATACAGCAAGACCCCAACTCTTAAAAAAAAAAAAAGGTGAAGAAATAAAAGGTTGTTGAATAATTCCATCTACTCTGTTTTTGCTAACCCAACATATGGTTCATAATTTAGAATTGGTAGCTGAAGCCGGGCGTGGTGGCTCACGCCTGTAATCCCAGCATTTTGGGAGGCCGAGGTGGGTGGATCACTTGAGGCCAGGAGTTCGAAACCAGCCTGGCCAACATGGTAAAACCCTGTCTCTACCAGAAATACAAAAATTAGCTGGGTGTGGTGGCGCACGCCAGTAGTCCCAGCTACTAGGAGAATGAAGCACAAGAATCACTTGAACCTGGGAGGCAGAGTTGAGCAGAGATCATGCCATTCCACTCCAGCCTGGGTAAAACTCTGTCACACAAAAAAATAATTTGTAATTGAGATTTCTAGCTCTATTTTCCTTGATTATATCAACTACTCTCCAAGAAAATAGATTTTCAGACCACAAATTCCCCAGACAAGAGCCCTAACTCTCAGGAAAGATATATAATATTCATAAAATTTAAATATAACACAATGGCCAGGTGCGGTGGCTCACGCCTGTAATCCCAGCACTTTGGGAGGTCGAGGTGGGCGGATCACCTGAGGTCAGGAGTTCGAGACCAGCCTGACCAACATAGAGAAACCCTGTCTCTACTAAAATACAAAATTAACCAGGCATGGTGGCGCATGCCTGTAATCCCAGCTACTTGGGAGGCTGAGGCAGGGGAATCTCTTGGACCCGGGAGGTGGAGTTTGCAGTGAGCCGAGATTGTGCCATTGCACTGCAGCCTGGGCAAGGAGAGTGAAACTCCATCTCAAAATAAATAAATAAATAAATATAACACAATGACAACAATAATACATACATATACACCCACACTCACACACACACTCTTACCCTAGGAATCTCTGAAATAGTGGACAGCCAACAACTGATCATATGGAAAGAAGTTTGAGTGCTACTGTCACCTCTTTCCTACAAAGGGATCTACATGTGTACAGAACTTTATTTATAAAGCTATTCATACACAGGATCAAGCAGCCTGAGCTAGGTTACTTTGCTGCTACAGAAAAAAAAAAAAATTCAGTGACATATAATGATATATAAAAACAGAAGCTATTTCCTGCTCACATTACTCTCCCACACTAGAGTGTTGTTGAAAGGATAAGGGATTAGGAGCCTTGGGACCAGTGTTTCCACCAGTAGCCATGTGTCCTGGATCAAGGCACTTAACTTCTCTGAACTATAAAATAATAATATTGTGCCAGATAATCTCTAAGACCTTTTCCAACACTGCAATTTGGAAACAAAGAAAAATCACCAAATTACAAGATCACTTTTCAAATGGGCACAGAACCACAATTTGGCTGCTTCAATTATTTTGGTCATCTCCATGATCAATAATGTTCCCAGCAGGCTAATAAATTATACCACTAGCTGTGTGGATCATTAAGGTGACTATGACACTCTGGCTAACTGTGCATGTTCCATTCCAGCCTCTGTGTTCAGCCAAGGCGAAAAGGTAAAATGTTCAAGTGCCTTTAACTAGGGGTCCTTTTTCTCACCTTGTAGTTTTTATCCATTTTATTTGTCAAATGGAAATAAATAATGAGGCCACAGGAGTAAAAGAGAGCTAAGAATATGGAGTCAGTAGTCTTAAAAAATTCAACAGATATTTATTTAAAACTTCCTAACTGGTAGACACTGTACTAGGTATAGGAAGAACAAACTGAGTAAGATCCTTATTCTGCCCCTCAGGTACTCACAAGCTACAATGTAAATCAGTAAAGAAAGAGATAACTATACCAGAATATGGTAAGTGTTATAATAAAGAAATTCCCTCCTCAACTGGTCTCTTTCAGTCTTGCGTCTTTCCAAATAGATGATTCTTTCCTTTCTTTCCTTCTTTTTTTTTTTTTTTTTTGTGAGAAGCAGTTTCACTCTTTTTACCCAGGCTGGAGTGCAATGGCACGATTTCGGCTCACTGCAACGTCCGCCTCCTGGGCTCAAGAGATTCTGCTGCCTCAGCCTTCCGAGTAGCTGGGATTAGAGGCATGCATCACCATGCCTCGCTAATTTTTGTATTTTTAATAGAGATGGCTTTCACCTTGTTGACCAGGCTGGTCTTGAACTCCTGGCCTCAGGTGATCTGCCCACCTCGGCCTCCCAAAGTGCTAGGATTACAGATGTGAGCCACGGCGCCTGGCCCTTACAGCTGATTCTTGAACTTTACCTTCTAATGAACTCCAAACTTATATAACCAAATGACTGATTGCATAGTATCTCCACTCAGATGTCTAAAAGATCTCTCAAACTCAACATCCCTCCAAAATAGAGCTCTTGATTTTTCACTCCCAAGATAAGCTCCACCCTAAGATTTGCCATCTCTCTAAATAACATCTCCATCTACCCAGTTGTTCAAGTCCCTCAGAGTCATCTTTGATTCAACGTTTCCTTCACTGCTCACATCTAATTTTCATTCTCCCACTGGTTTTGCTTCCACTTCCTATTCCGAATCTATTCACAACTTCCCATGTTCACAACAACAACCCTAGCCCATGCTCATAGTTCCTCTATTCTGGTTCATTACGACAGTGTCCTAACTGCTTCCATTCTTCCTTCCCTTCTTTACCTAACAGGCAGTCATCTTTTTAAAATGGCATTCAGGTTTCTTAGCCCCTTTCATAAAAACCTGCAACGGCTTCATATTGAAGTTAGACTAAAATCCAAATTAGCATGTGTTGGGCCCTGCCTATTTCTTCACATTCTCATTTTGCAGATGCCACCTTGCTCACTGTGATCTAGGTTCAAGGCTTTCTTGCTGATATTTGACCAGGTCAAGCTTGTTCTTCTCACAAGATTTTTGCAGTTGCTATCAGGTTGGGGCAAACGTAATTGGGCTGTTTGCCATTTAAAAGTAATGCCATTGGTTTTAAAAGTAATGTAGAAATAACATTACTGGGGCCGGGCGCGGTGGCTCACGCCTGTAATCCCAGCACTTTGGGAGGCCGAGGTAGGTGGATCACGAGGTCAGGAGATCGAGACCATTCTGGCTAACACGGTGAAACCCCATCTCCACTAAAAATACAAAAAATTAGCCAGGCATGGTGGCAGGCGCCTGTAGTCCCAGCTGCTTGGGAGGCTGAGGAAGGAAAATGATGTGAACCTGGGAGGCGGAGCTCGCAGTGAGTCAAGATCGCGCCACTGCACTCCAGCCTGGCGGAGCAAGACTCCGTCTCAAAAAAAAAAAAAAAAAAAAAGAAATAACATTTTGCTATCTATATTGGCGTTCATTACTCTCGAAATGATGACTCAATAACTGGTGCTTCCATTTGTTATGACCTCCTGAATTAGTCCTTTTATTTTCACAGAATTTAGAACACAGGTAAGTTGAATCACTGACTATTAAAAAACACAGAACTCTAGGAGAAAATATTTGCAAAAGACTTATCTGTAAAGCACTGTAAAGTTTCTCAAAATATGCGAAAAAAACCCCTTAAAATTAACAATAAGAAAATGAACAACACAAATGGGCAAAAGATCTGAACAGACACCTCACCAAAGGTGATATACAAAATGACAAGCATATGAAAAGACGCTCAAAAACTACAATCATGTTTGCACCAACCTAATAGTTTCTCTAATAGAATTCATCCTCCAGAACATTTCTATGGCTGCTTCCTTCTTATAATTATGATCTCAGCTCAAATGGTACCTGCTTTTTTTTTTTTTTTTTTTTTTTTTTTTTTTTGAGACGGAGCTTCGCTTTTGTTGCCCAGGCTAGAGTGCAATGGCGTGATCTCCGCTCACTGCAACCTCCGCCTCCCAGATTCAAGCGATTCTCCTGCCTCAGCCTCCCTAGTAGCTGGGATTACAAGCATATGCCACCACACCCAGCTAATTTTGTATTTTTAGTAGAGACGGGGTTTCTCCATGTTGGTCAGGCTGGTCTCGAACTCCCGATCTCAGGTGATCTGCCCGCCTCGGCCTCCCAAAGTGCTGGGATTACAGGCATGAGCCGCCGCACCCGGCCTGTACCTGCTCTTAAAGAGTTTTTCTTGAAACTCAATCTAAAGTAATCCCAACTCCCATCAAATCATTATCTATCCCCATAGTCAGCAAACTAGAGCCAGCAAGTGAAATCTGTCCCTGGACTCTTTGTGTAAATAAAGTTTTATTGGAGCACAGCCATACCCTTTTGTTTACACACTGTCTGTGGCTGCATTCATGTTGCAACTATGGGTTGAATAGTTGTGACAGAGACTCTATGGCTTGTAAAGCCTAAAATATTTACTATGTGGCTTTAATAGAAAAACATTGCCAAGCACTGCCATCTCTGTCACCCTGTTTATCTGTCTTCTCCTCTTCCTCCTTCTTCACTGCTAACACTGTATGAGATTATCTTGCTTATTTATTTGTTTTCTTGTTTATTGTCTCTTAGCCTTCCCTAGACTGTAAACTCTATGATGTTAAAATGGACATCTTGGTCACCGTTCTATCTCCAATGCCCATACAGAGTCTGGCATGTGGGAGCTAATCAATAAATAACGGGTGACTAAATGAATGATTAATCCTATTTGTCAAATCCTGCTTGTATGTTATTGTAATTGGTATAATCCTAGTACAAGAAAAGTTTGGATCTGGTTATCTCTAGAAACAGCAAAACTGAGCATTTTTCATTGTTATATCACTTAAAGGACTTAATGCCAAGCCTTCTCCATAATAAACTTTCAAAAAAAAGTTGCTGAATAAAAATAGTATAGGGCAAGAAGGGTGGAGGAAAAGAGGGGTTCAGAGCAAGACCCTATAAACTCACTTTACCTTTGCCATCTTACTTTTCAGGAGCCTATTGATAGGACTCACAAGATTCAAGGTGCCTTGTCCAAACAGATGTTCATTGCTCTTTGACACACCTTAAATAAGAGTTCTGTAGTTAAACAACTTTGGAAAAAGAGGTGTACTCTCACCCTCCCCCATCATAATGAACATCAGCATGAAGGCTCTAAGAAGACCCACAGCAAAGAAGCCGGTTCAGTTATTTTTAATCTGACTCTTCACAAACTTATTTTACACCAGGTAACTTTCAAATCTTCACAGAACTAATGTTTTGTGAAATTTACTTTGAAAAACATCGTGCTAGAAATAACATTATTTTGCTATCTATATTGGCTGTTCATTTCTCTTAAAATGATGAATTAATAACTGATGCTTCCATTTGTTATGACCTCATGAATTAGTCCTTTTACTTTCTCAGAATTTAGAACACAGGTAAGTTGAATCACTGACTACTAAAAAACACAGAAATCTAGGAGAAAATATTCGCAAAAGACATATAAGCACTGTTACTTAAAATATGCAAAAAACCCTTAAAACTATACAATAGGAGGCCAGTTGTGGTGGCTCACGCCTGTAATCCCAGCACTTTGGGAGGCCAAGGGGTGTGGATCACGAGGTCAGGAGTTCGAGACCAACCTGACCAACATGGTGAAACCTCGTCTCTACTAAAAATACAAAAATTTGCTGGGTGTGGTGGCGGGTGCCTGTAATCCCAGCTACTCGGGAGGCTGAGGCAGGAGAATCACTTGAACCCGGGAGGCAAAGGTTGCAGTGAACCAAGATTGTGCCATTGCACTCCAGCCTGGGCGACAAGAGCAAGACTCCGTCTCAAAAAAAAAACCAAAAAAAAAAACAACAAAAAAAACCTAAACAATAAGAAAATGAACAACACAAATGGGCAAAAGATCTAAATAGACACCTCACCAATGGTGATATACAAATGACACACATATGAAAACATGCTCAACTTCATGTATCATTAAGAAACTGCAAATTAAAACAACAATGAGATACCACTATACACCGACACCAAGATCTGGTGAGGATGTGGAGTAATATGAATTCTCATTCATTGCTGGTGGGAATGCAAATGGTACAATTTCTCACAAACCTAAACATATTCTTACTATACGATACAGATATTATGCTCCTGGGTATTTAATCAAAGTAGTTGAAAACTTATGTCCATACAAAAACCCACATACAAAGGTTTATACTAGTTTTATTCATAATTGCCAATTTTTAAGGCAACCAAAGTGTCCTTCAGTAGATGAAGAGACTTTTTTAAAAAGCTGTAGTACATCCATACAAAGGAATATCATTCATCTATTTTTTTTTAATGAGCTAGCAAGCCAAAAAAGACATGAAGTGATGCATGTTGCTAAGTGAAAGAAGCCAGTCTGAAAAGGCTACATCCTGTATGATTCTAATAATATAACATTCTGGAGAAGGCAAAACTATAGAGATGGTAAAAAGATCAGTGGTTGCCAGGGCCTTGGGAGGAGAGAGGGAGAGATAATAGGTGGAGTAAAAGGGATTTTTAGGACAGTAAAACTGTTTTGTATAATTTTGTAATAGTGGATCTGCGACATTAAATACTTGACAAAACTCCTGTGTGTTTAGAACATTAGTGAGCCCTAATGCAAACTATGGACTTCAGCTAATAATAATGTATAGTACTGGCTCATCCATTGTAACAGGTGTACCACACTAATGCAAGATGTTAATAATAGGGGAAACTGAGGGTGGGGAGAAAGGGGAAATGTATACGAAAATTGCACCTTCTGCTCAATTTTCTGTACAAATAAAATGGTGCTAAATAATGCAGTCTATTACAGAACACACACAAACACACAATTTTTAAAAATGGCAGAACCCCAGGCCGGGTGCAGTGGCTTACGCCTGTAATCCCTGCACTTTGGGAGGGCGAGGTGGGTGGATCACTTGAGGTCAGGAGTTCGAGACAAGCCTGGCCAACGTGGGGAAACCCCATCTCTATTAAAAATACAAAAATTAACTGGGCATAGTGGCACACACCTGTAATACTTGGGAGGCTGAGGCAGGAGAATTGCTTGAACCCAGGAGGCGGAGGTTGCCTTGAGCTGAGATCGCGCCACAGCACTCCAGCCTGGGCGACAGAGCGAGACTCGGTCTCAAAAAAAAGGCAGAACCCCAAAATGCTGAAGACCTACTTGTCTATTGGAGGAAATGTAGGAGCGGAGGGCAAGTGGAGAGAAAGAACTGTGTACTTGAACTAAACTTGAAGACGTGCCTTAGCAGTACTGGGGGACCAATATCTTAGCCTCTGAAGTGGGCACACCCAAGCTTTAGTCTTGACTCTATCACATCCCTGCTGTGCTACCATGGACATGTTTTGGAACCTCTCTCCCAGATTTAGTTTCCTCCTTTTAAAAATGGCAATAATAAAAGCACTTTTCAAGGGCTTCTGTAAGAATCAAGTCGGATAATGCATGTAAAGCAGGCAGCATAGTGTCTGGCACATTATAGGATGTCGATATTTAAATACTATTATTAGTTATCTGGTCAAATCACTTAAACATTTTAAACCTGTTAATAGGTAAGAATAAAAGAAAATAAGTACACAAAGTACTATGTAAATTGCTTTATCTTGACTCCAGGGTACCGTCTAGGTGATGCTTCTGATTACTGCCCTGACAGTTTGTCTGTTAGAATCAGATGATTCTCTTGACCTTGGGCCTCTTTATCAGCAGCACTTACAATTTGCACTTTTGTCAAGAGGACTATTCCTTTCCATAATCAGCCAAGTCCTGCCAGTTTGTAAATGACTCGCTGGGAACAAGTTAGGTCCTTTTGCAAACTACATCAACTCTTCCAGACCACACTGGTATTCACTAATAAAATATTTCCACAGTGAACTAAAGAGTGTCTTTGTAGCTTGGGTCAGTTACCATCACATTTCATACTTATTCCTACAGAGTAAATAATTTGTATATTTGGAAAATACAGCATTATTTTATACCATTGATAATCAGTACCGAGTTAGAAAAGTTCCCTTTTCTACAAATGCATGCCCAGCTTTCTTCCATTACAGTATGTTACTTATTTTATTAAAATAACTTAAATTCAGGGCCAGGCACAGTGGTTCATGCCTGTAATCCCAGCACTTTGGGAGGCCAAGGCGGGTGGATCACAAGTTCAGAAGATTGAGACCATCTTGGCCAACATCGTGAAGCCCCGTCTCTACTAAAATACAAAAATTAGCCAGGCATGGTGGCACATGCCTGTAATCCCAGCTGCTTGGGAGGCTGAGGCAGGGGAATCACTTGAACCCAGGAGGCAGAGGTTGCAGTGAGCTGAGATCGCACCACTGCACTCTAGCCTGGGTGACAGAGCAAGACTCCGTCTCAAAAAAATAAATAAATAAAAATAAAAAATAAATTAAATTCAGAATAATCATCCTTGTCTGTGATCAAATTTGTCAGTTATCAACAACTTGTTATTTCTGAAAGAAAAATTCAAATAAAAAATAAAACCTGATTTCAGAAACACCTAGCCTTAAGCACACAATTGCCATTAATTGCACAATCCATGTGACTGATTTCCTGCCTCTAGTGAAATAGGAAGAATACATTCATTGAAGTAGGAGGGGAACAAAGGGCAGGAAGGCCCATAAGGTTCAGAAAGGAGGACACTTTAAGGAAGATAGAAACGAGAAATCTATAAAACAGGATTTGTTTAGGTTTTTAGGTTTTTTTGGTTTTGTTTTGTTTTTTTGAGACAGGGTCTCCCTGGGTAGGCTGGAGCGCAGTGGTGCAATCATAGCTCACTCCAGCCTCCAACTCCTGGCTCAAGGGATCCTCCTGCCTCAGCCTCATAAATAGCTGAGATTACAGGCACCATCATGCCTGGCTAATAAAAAAACGGTTTTAAATCTAGCAATAGACCATAATATGTAGGTTTAATGACTGTGTCCTATCGCCTTAGAACTACATATTTATAATGGTGGTTTAGAGAGAACTTCTGAGCCAAACAAACTTTACGGAAAAGATTTTTTGTATTAATGTGGCTGAATCTTTTGAGATCGATAACTAAGCAACACAAATCAAATTAATTAAAACATTCGATAAATACAAAGTTTGCTCTAAACAAAAATGAGAGGACTGGTCTGTAATTACATCTGTGCCATTTTTAAACACTAAGCATCCTTTCTCCCAACCTTACCATAATCATGAAAATTCTCAGCCCTTTAAAAAATATTTTTTATTTAGAAAATCGTATGCAGTAGTTTTCTATTGGGATCAGCTTAGTCACTCCATCGAAAACAACTAATTAACTTCCTATGTCACTGATTATAAATAGCATCCCAAACTAATCATTATCATCTACTTTCAAACTTGCAATCTTATTTCCTCTTCCATGACATGAAAGATTTCATTGGAAATGTGTAAGCCTTATCGTGGACTCTGAGTCATTTATCACCAAGAAGTATGGCTTATGTGATCAACCAGCCTGAATAAGCATTGGATTCATCACAGGAAGTAGGTACGGACTTTCTTCCCTTTGACTTACCATTATCTAATGAGGTAGGAAAAAGACAAATTCTTCAAAAAGTAAAAAGCTAGACAGAAATATTCCAAATAACTTTTTTTTTTTTTTGAGACAGTCTCGCTCTGTCGCCCAGGCTGGAGTGCAGTAGTGCAATTTCGGCTCACTGCAAGCTCCGCCTCCTGGGTTCACGCCATTCTCCTGCCTCAGCCTCCCAAGTAGCTGGGACTACAGGCGCCCGCCACCACACCCGGCTAATTTTTTGTATTTTTAGTAGACATGGGGTTTCACTGCATTAGCCAGGATGGTCTCGATCTCCTGACCTCGTGATCCACCTGCCTCGGCCTCCCAAAGTGCTGGGATTACAGGTTTGAGCCACCGCGCCTAGGCAACATTTCTTTATATAAGATTTAGGTCATATTGTCTCTTTAAATGATTCTGATTGAGGATGGATGCGGTGGCTCACACTAGTAATCCCAGCACTTTTGGAGGCTAAGGTGGGCAGATTGCCTGATATTAGGAGTTTGAGACCAGCCTGGCCAACATGGAGAAACCCCGTCTCTACTAAAAATACAAAAATTAGCTGGGCGTGGTGGTGGGCACCTGTAATCCCAGCTACTCAGAAGGCAGAGGCAGGAGAATCACTTGAACCTGGGAGGCAGAGGTGACAGTGAGCCAAGATCATGCCACTGCACTCCAGCCTGGGTGACAGAGTGAGATTCTGTCTCAAAAAAAAGAAAAAGAAAAGATTCAGACTGATATAGTCTACAATATATGAGTATCATATAAAACATTTGAAAACCAATGATAAAAATAAATTTATTCAAATTCTTAACCTATTTGCCTAAGGAAAGTGCAAAAATTGAGAGGACATTCCTAATGATTATACATCCATTGCCTTAACAATGAAAACTACAAACAGTATTTAAGAACTAATATTGAGAGTTATATCTTAGCTTTTACCTCAGCCTACTCTTGGTACAGACGGACAAATGTATGTGCCATTGTCCCATTGTTTATCTTTTAAATATTAGAGCACAGCATCCAGGATGATTTAATTGTTATAGCCACCCTTCTTGGACAAATGCTATGGCTACTGAACAGAAGAATCCAGTGAGTACCTTATGAAGTAAGTCTAAATAGAAAAAATTTGGGGAGAGTCGTTGGCTTCTAAAAGAAGAAGTAGGCCATGGGCAGTGGCTCATGCCTGTAATCCCAGCACTTTCTGAGGCCGAGGTGGGCGGATCATGAGGTCAAGAGATTGAGACCATCCTGGCCAACATGGTGAAACCCCCTCTCTACTAAAAATACAAAAATTAGCTGGGCGTGGTGGTGCACACCTGTAGTCCCAGCTTCTTGGGAGGCTGAGGCAGGAGAATCGCTTGAACCTGGGAGGCAGGGGTTGCAGCGAGCCAAGATTGCGCTACTGCATTCCAGCCTGGCAGCAGAGCGAGACTCCATCTCAAAAAATAAATAAATAAATAGAGAAGTAAATGAATGCAAGAAAGTAGAGCCCAAAGTTCTGAAAATCGATAGGCTCAGAGAAGTAAAAAGGTCCAGGAACCCAGTTGGATAAACAAAGCCCAAAGTCATAGTAAACAATAAAAGACATGAAAGAAAAAAAAAATCCGGTAATAAAGTATTAAGTTAGCAAACAGAGTTATTTGGTCCAACCCAGATTTTTGCATCACAGCAGTTTCTCACCATATTGCCATGGAACTCCTGAAATTGAGTGCCTAATATATGTCAGGCCCTGGGGAATGGAGGTAATCAAGACAAAATCCTTGCCCACATGGAATCTATATTCTAGTCATAAAAAACAGATAAGCAAAGGAAATAAATAAATAATATGATTTTAGGAAATGAAACATGCTATGAAGAAAATAAGACAAAGTAAAAGATAGAGTGATGGTAGGTAAGTAGAATTAGAGGAGTGTGGAAATGTCAAGCAGTATTAAAAAACAAACTTCTGGCCGGGTGCGGTGGCTCATGCCTGTAATCCCAGCACTTTGGGAGGCTGAGGCAGGCAGATCATGAGGTCAGGAGATCAAGATCATCCTGGCTAACACAGTGAAACCCCGTCTCTACTAAAAATACAAAAAAAAAAATTAGCCAGGCGTGGTGGTGGGCACCTGTAGTCCCAGCTGCTGGGGAGGCTGAAGCAGGAGAATGGCATGAACCCGGGAGGCGGAGCTTGCAGTGAGCCGAGATCGCGCCACTGCACTCCAGCCTGGGCGACAGAGCAAGACTCCGTCTCAAAAAAATAAAAATAAAAAGTAAAAAATAAACTTCCATCAACCATTCAGTGCTCCTTCCCATAGGGACAGTAGAATGGCAAGGTCAGGGTTCCCCACCAGTGGTATGTGAGACAATTCTAAATGGTTTATAGATAAACGTTTTAGAATTTAAATTAAACAGTCATGTATATACTTTGTTGTTATCTCTTTTTACTAGCAAGATATACTATGTTTCTACTTAAGATAATAATAACAAAAAATAAGTTTACTTAAACACAAAACAGGGATTTAAAGAAAATTATTAAGTAAGTAATAATGCAGGTAATATGCAGAAACGGGAAAATCATGAAAGTAGAGCAAGGGTAGCTGAATAAATCAATTGAGTTAATTGCATTAATTATAATTAATATCACCAAATTGGAATCTACTGCCAGTCTTGGTACCCCAACAGGAATGCCCTTCTCTTTCTTCAGTTCAAGAGAAAGATGAAGAAAATGTTGACATTCACTAATTGAAAGGAGCTAATGCTTTTTCATGGACTCGAAAAATTCATTCAAAACTCATTGTACTCTCTTTAAAAGTTGCATGATTCAACTCAAATCTCACTTCCCTACTAAGCTGTTCATCCACACCTTCACTTCCACAGCTTTGCCTTGGACAACCACGGTCATTGTCTTATTCAACTAAACTATAAGTTCTTCAAGGGTAGTGATCAAATCTTACATTATTATATATTTATTTTATGCCTTGGCACAGTGTTAATCCTAGAATCTAAGTTAAATGAATATTTGCTAAGTGAACAAATTGATTAACATAATTTTATGTTTTTGAACTCTGTTTCAGTGATTTTGCAGAGCTGGGATAATATCCCTTATCACTAATCAGTGTCACTTTTGGAAAAGCACTAATATATAAGTGCATTAGTGCTGTAAAAGAAAAAAAGAAGTACAAAAAAAAGCTATGAATATTCTAGTTAAATGTTTTAGATGGGAATAGGCTCACAAGAAGTGAAGTAGAAGTTGGTCAGTAGAATTTAACCCTGAACTGAGTCTTTAAAGAAAGTTTTAGCCAGCAGATAGAATACTGATACCTGAGGTCAGGCAATAGATAATTTAAGAACACTCTTCGCCGGGCACTCACGCCTGTAATCCCAGCACTTTGGGAGGCCGAGGTGGGCGGATCACAAGGTCAGGAGATCAAGACCATCCTGGCTAACACAGTGAAACCCTGTCTCTACTAAAAAAAAAAAAAATTAGCCGGGTGTGGTGGCGGGTGCCTGTAGTCCCAGCTACTCGGGAGGCTGAGGTGGGAGAATGGTGTGAACCCAGGAGGTGGAGCTTGCAGTGAGCTGAGATTGCACCACTGCACTCCAGCCTGGGCAACAGAGCGAGACACCATCTCAAAAAAAAAAAAAAAAAAGAACAACATTCTTCATCCCAAAGGTCAATATGTTGTAATGGCGTGTCCCACTAAAATGAGCCCAATAACTGGTGGCAGCGCCCTAGTAACGATGATAAAAATATTACTACTATATTTTCCAATAGTAGTAATAACCACAAACCTTTAGGGAGTATCTTACTAATCTTAAACTGATAGCAGGTAAGCTTTCTCCTAAGGTTTTTACATGCATAATTTAATTTAAAGCTCATAATAACCTTATGAGACAAGTACTGCTATGATCCTAATTTGTGGAAGCACATAGAAATTAAATAACTTGCCAAGGTCAAATAGCTGGTGAGTAGAATAAACAGGATTTGAACCTAATTCCTCTTGTTCACAGTCACCATAGCACAGAGATTAACTTACCAGAACTTGGTACAACGTAAGGCTTGGAAATAAGGCAGAAATCCACACATCAGACTCCCAAATGTTCCTCCAGACGTAAGTTAGAAACTAGCCCTAGAGTCTTAGACGAAGCTAATTAGACATTGGTGAAGGTAAGACCACAATGACTGAGAACCACAGAGGTCTTAAGCCATGTAGGGCATAAAATGCTGAAAAAGTCACTTCAGGGACTACCAATAAGTGCTGCTACTTTCAGAAATAGTGTATACAAACTTAAAACATTCAGCCATCAGAATGAGTAAAAGCAAATCAGGAGTTTCCTCATCAAAGTCAAGAATAAGACACAAATTACTACAATCATGATCCTTAATTAACACTGTTTTGGAAGTATTAGCCAAAGCAAGTAGGCAAGAAAACAAAACAACAGCGAATAAAAAAAAAAAAAGAGGTATGCATATAAGAAGCAGGGAGGTATAGAATTTGCCATGTTAAGAAACTGTATGATTATATACCAGATTTGTGTAGACTGAAGTCACCTGAGGCTACCTAATTTCAACATCTCATTTGTCTCCGACTCTACATTTGCAGAGTCTGAGGTGATCCCTAGTTGACCTGTACCAAAGCAGCCATGCACATGCTTTGTGATAACTAGGGGTGATCCCTGGTCTCTAGCCAGCCTAAATAAAAAGAACATGCTGTACAGTCAGTCTCTAATCTAAATGAAATATAATTACATCTGAAAAGGCAATCTGCCATTTGAGTAGCTCATTCATCAAAACAATATTTGCTAAAAGCAATTCATCCTTTACCATATTACCCAAAAGAAGTTTTCCTGTTTCACTATTTACTTTTAATTACAGACTTTAATATGCAAATGTAGAAACATGGGCAGCTTTATTAGTCACATTTCTAGCTCAAAATTATTATATTCCTGAGTTTTAGTCTAGTAATAATTCTAAAATTAGATTGCTTAATAACAATAATGAATGTGTCTTTCTTCTAAATACAGGTTAGTAATCTTAAACCGATAGCAGGCTAAATTAAGAGTTGCAGAGCATTGTAAATTTTGAAGCTGTCCCCAAGCAATCATACCAAACAAATCTAATCTATCTTCCTCAGGATGGGATATTCCTTCCTCTTGACCTAGACCTTCCTTTTCCAGGATGCTGATTTGCACTGATAGCAGCCAGTTTTAATGCCTTGAGCTGGCCAACAGAGGACTGTGGGTAGAAGCGAACTGACCTCTTTCTGCAGAGCATCCTGTACGTCAAACTATTGTACTCCACAGTGTTTGTGTGTGTGTGTGTGTATATATGTGTGTATGTGTCTGGGACTTGGTGCATTGCCTGAGTTGAGAAAAAGCTTCTTTCATCCAACTACCTGCAGGTTACCAGCTGGAATAGCAGACAGAAGCCAAAACTGAACTTACGTCAGATCAAGAGAAGGAAAGAAAATGTTGGCACCCAGCTGGTTAAAAGAGAAGGGGAGAATAAACACCTTTTCATGGGCTCTGGAAAGAAAAATATATTCAAAACTCACCATATGATTGAAATGGAAGGGTAACAGTAGATTATTTTCAAAGAAACTACATTTCTGTTTGTTTGTTACATGTATTGAGGCATATATGTTTACAAATAGAAATATACTCCAGTCTTCCCAGGTGTGAAGGGAATGCATAAGGCAGGCTTTGTGCACCTTCACAAGACAAAGTTGCTGTCAACATGAGAATCTTAATCCAGTGCTCCCTGATGAACTTGGCACAAAATCACAGCTCCATGAGATTTGGCTTCCTGATACTGAGAAAGGGAAGGGCTGAGCCTAGGAAAGATCAGGGTCACTACATATGGGTTCCACATAATATACTCTTAAACTTGGAAGGTGAGCCTCCACCTATGTGGGAAAGTTCACGGAGATTTTGGAGAATTGCTGTGTAAGGTTTTACATTTAACAAAGCCTCTTCAGGCAGCAAGAGGCAATGATGACAGCAATAAACTTGGAGTCCAGGAATCTGAATCTGAGGCTGAGATCTACCATTCAGTAGCCGCTGGCTTTGGACAAGTTATCTTCTTGGGTGTATATTTCCTCCTATATATGTAGCATATGAGGAAGAATCCTGCCCTGTCTACCTCAATGGTTTTGTAAGGATTGCATGACAGGAAGTACCGAAAAATATTTTTCAAACAAGAAAACATTGTGTAAACACAAAATGCTGCTGCTACTACTGCTGCTGTTATTATTGTTGTTGTTACGAGTTTACTAGCTTTCAAATTACTTTTCCTACACTTTCCATACTAAATATTTGTGGACTATATAGTACACATTTCAATTAGAACTTGTCAATGGGCTAACATAAGTATTTGGGAATTTCACCCTCTGCAAGGGAGGTATATAAGGTTTAGTCCTGGAGCTTTCAATAACTAAATGTGTGACTTCGGCTGTGATATAAATGAGAATTTTATAAAATGAGAATTTTATTTCTCTGTAAAATAAGAATTTTAAATTAGATAATTTCTAGAGTCCCTTACAGTTTAAATATTCTCTGGTTTCTATCCACTGTTTGTCCACACCACCTCCAACTTGCCCTTGCTCTCACTGTCACTTTGCTTCTGATCTCATACCTCTCCACGTTGCGGTCTAGAACCATGCTTTCTTTTTCATTTTTTCTCTTGTGTCTGACCCAAGGCTTAGGTGTTAGTCAAAGGATATATTTACTGCAAGAAGTATGAATCAAAACCATGATACATTAGCAAATTCTCCCCAGCAGGCAATGAAAATCCTTGCTTTTATGTGTGTAGAAAGGGTTGGAGTTCACAGAGGTGGGTTCAGACAGAAATCTGGGAAAATCTGGGAAATAGGAATGCTAAAGTATATTCTTAATTTTATTATTATTATTATTATTTTAGAGACAAAGTCTGGTCTCAAACTCCTGAGCTCTATCTCAGGCTTTCAAAGTGTTGTGATTACAGGCTTGAGCCACTGCGCCTGGTCAACTCTTAGGTAAATACCTCATATACATGTATTTATTGCTTTACACCTGCCTGATTTTATCATATATAATAGAAAGAACATTAGCTTCCATTTTGGCTCAGCCATTTTATCTGGGGAAAGTCATTCAACTAGTTCATCTAACATATATTATTTATTAAAAAATATGTGCTGACCAATGCTCTAGTCAGTAAAGATATAATGGTAGATAAAAACAGGTGTGGTTCGCGCCCTTGTGGAGCTTGCAGTCTAAATGAAATTATAGTCTTCAATTAAAGAATCACACAAGTAGGTATAAGTTTACATCTGTGATAAGTGCTACAAAAAAGAATAGCAGGGTGCTGTCAGGGCTCAGAAAACAATACCACCAAATGAAGGCCTCAGCAGCAGCCTCAGAAGCAAAAGTTTTCATCCTACCTTCCCCTGTTCTCCTGTCTCTCAGTCCCATTCTCCCCCAAGGCTGGCCACAGAAACTAGAATCCCTCTTCCCCAAGGTGTGTCATGCAAACCAGAACATCCTTTCCCAAAGCCAGCCAGAAATCTAAAATGTGTTCCATGTAACAGAATCATTAATCGATCTGCCTGATGTAAGTGATTTTTTTAGCAAAACTTTAGGTGTCCATGGGCCTTGGCCCCCACAGTGCTAAAACAGTGACTAATACAGGGGAACTGCCCTGGTCAAGAGGCACAGGGAAACCTTATCTACAGACGTGGTGGCTGAACTGACATCTGAAAAGAAAGTAGGAGTCATCCAGGCAAAGAACAAACAGGGTGGCAGGAAGGGCGTTCCAGTTAGAAGGAACAGCAAGTGCAAAATTTTATTGCAGTTTAGTTAAATAAACTAAGCATGTCAGGGATGTTGGGGTGAAGAGCATGAGAAGACCATGTGAACTGAGGCGAGAGAGGCAGACCAATTACAACTGGCTTTGTGGACCATGTTAAAGATTCTGGTCTTTCCCTGAAAAGCAGAGGAAAGTCACTTAAGTGTTATAAATTGATGGTAGCGTAACCAAATTCGTATTTTGACCAGATCCTTTGGCTGCTGTGTAAAGAAGAAATTCAAGGCCGGGTGTGGTGGCTCACGCCTGTAATCTCAGCACTTTGGGAGGCTGAGTCGGGCAGATCACTAGGTCAGGAGTTCAAGACTAGACTGGTGAACATGGTGAAACCCCATCTCTACTAAAAATACAAAAATTAGCCTGGCGTGGTGGTGGGCACATTTAATCCCAGCTACTCGGGAGGCTGAGGCAGGAGAATCGCTTGAACCCAGGAGGCGGAGGTTGCAGTGAGCCGAGATCATACCATTGCACTCCAGCCTGGGCAACAAGAGCAGAATTCCATCTCAAAAAAAAAAAAAAGAATAAATTCAAGAAAGTCAAGCGTGGATTCCAAGAGACTAAGATCGGAGCTTAGGGCAGGTTCCTGTGTTGCCCACTGCAAAATACTCACGCACAATTTTGGATGAGTTGAGTCCTAGGCACTTTTGAGATCCAAATTAAGATACTAAGTAGGGAGGCAGTTGGATATATAAGTCTAAAGCTGAGAAGGGAAGTCAGGGCTGACAGTAAACTTTTGAGCTAGAATTTATAAATTAACTGTGAGGCATGGCCTAGAATGAGATTATCTAATGAGAGAATGAAGAGGAAGAATAACTAATCTCAGAGCCTCTGTCTCTTCAGCTGTAAACTAGCAATTGTAGTAGCTGTTTTACAAAATTTTTGTAGCTGAGATGTAGAAGCACTCAACAAAAATTCCGATATTATTATTGTATTAGGAGGAAAAAAAATAAAAATTAGCCAGTCACAAAGCTATTTATAGTATGATCCAATTTTTTTTATTTTAAAAAAGTATCTTCAGGCATAAAAAATAGACCAGGCTACACTTACAACTTACCAATAATTATTGTCAGATTAGAGCAATTTAAATTTCTCCTTTGTGTACATCAGTAATTTGTAAACTTTCTGCAATGAACGTGATTCTTTATATAGTGAAAAAATACAATGTTTTGCTTTTTCAATTATATGAAAGTACTTTTCCAAGGATTGAGCCAAAGATGATGAAATGAGCTGAAACAACAGCTTATGTGAATGGCCAGGGTTTAGCACACATGGTAGAGTGGCTTTGTTTGAAGCCAGTTTGTGTTTCCAGGTCTCTGTCATAGAGACCGAGAGATGAACTTTTGGGAACTGGACAAAAGAACTGTTTTGGTCTAAGGTGACCTGTCTGGAATTGCATGGCACATGCGGCCCGAGAACCACTGGCCTTGCCAAACCTTTTGTATATCATTCTCCACAAAGAATCATCACAACACACAGGTCCTTAGAGGCCTGGAAAATCCATGCCTAATTGCCACACACGCAACACACACACACACACACACACACACGTGTGCTGCTTTTACAGCAAAGGCTAAAATCTGCTTGATTCCTCCTAAATAATCTGTAAGTTTGTGATAAGCTTCATCCTTATTTGCATGGTTAGGGTAAGAGTGCTGGCAGGGAACATGGCTCAGAGCTCTCAAGAACATGATGTCTGTCTCCCTGCTTGAGTTCCCTGGCCTTCGGCATAAGGCAGGAAGGGCCGGCTTGCTGCCACATCAAGGATGCCTGGCTCATGGGTAGAGACTCTGTGTAGTGTGGTAGAAGGAGCTCAGTTCTGGAAGTCAGGAAACCTAGATCCTGGCCCCAACTTTGCACAAATCAGCTGAGCTGTGTGACACTGACCAAGTCCTGTGACCTCTCTTTGTTTTAGGGTCTTTGTTTGTTTTCCATCTGTAAAATAAAAAATATTTCCAACAAAAGATCCCATGAAATGCACAGGCTGAATCTATATGATGACCAGAGCAGAAATATAACACATGAGGCTTGGCACAGTGGCTCAAGCCTGTAAGCCCAGCACTTTGGGAGGCCGAGGCAGGCGGATCACGAGGTCAGGAGATCGAGACCATCCTGGCTAACGCGGTGAAATCCAATCTCTACTAAAAATACAAAAAAAATTAGCTGGGCGTGGTGGCGTGTGCCTGTAGTCCCAGCTACTCCAGAGGCTGAGGCAGGAGAATGGCATGAACCCGGGAGGTGGAGCTTGCAGTGAGCAGAGATCACACCATTGCACTCTAGCCTGGGCAACAGAGTGAGACTCCAACTCCAAAAAAAAGAAAAAGGAAAGAAAGAAGGAAAGGAAAGGAAAGGAAAGGAAAGGAAAGGAAAGGAAGAAAGAAAAAGAAAGAAAGAAAGAAAGAAAGAAAGAAAGAAAGAAAGAAAGAAAGAAAGAGAGGGAAAGAAGGAAGGAAAGAAAGAAAACACATGAATTTGAATGTTTTTAGACAGGTTAACAGTGGCCCTCTACTAAAAATACTACCTCCCACACCACCTAAATCTCCACCTTCTAGCCATCCTCCTTCCAACCACCACACCACCACTCCCCACAAAATCCCTTGCTCCACTTTCTATAGAACCCTTATAACTATCAGAAATGATAGTTATTCCTGGAATAAAGAGTGCAAGTCTCATCTTGGCTCACCTACTAACTAAACGTAACAAAATCCCTGTGAACCTCAGCATGCACATCCATAAAATAGAGAAAGCAATAGTGCTTACCCCATCCCATTACTGGGTATATACCCAAAGGATTATGAATCATGCTTCTATAAAGACACATGCACACTATGTTTATTGCGGCACTATTCACAATAGCAAAGACTTGGAACCAACCCAAATGTCCAACAATGATAGACTGGATTAAGAAAATGTGGCACATATACACGATGGAATACTATGCAGCCATAAAAATTGATGAGTTCATATCCTTTGTAGGGACATGGATGAAACTGGAAGCCATCATTCTCAGCAAACTATCACAAGGACAAAAAACCAAACACCGCATGTTCTCACTCATAGGTGGGAATTGAATAATGAGAACACTTGGCCACAGGAAGGGGAACATCACACACCGGGGCCTATTGTGGGGTCAGCGGAGGGGAGAGGGATAGCATTAGGAGATACACCTAATGTAAATTACGAGTTAATGGGTGCAGCAAGCCAACATTTTTCATATATATATATATATATATATATATATATATATATATATATATATGAAAAAAAGAAAGCAATAGTGCTTACCTCACAGGAATGGAATAGCTTAAAAGTGGGGTGAGGAGGGCCAGGCACGGTGGCTCACGCTTGTAATCCCAGCTCTTTTGGAGGCCAAGGTGGGTGGGTCACCTGAGGTCAGGAGTTCGAGACAAGCCTGGTCAACAGGGTGAAACCTTGTACCTACTAAAAACACAAAAATTAGCTGGGCATGGAGGTAGGTGCCTGTAATCCCAGCTACTTGGGAGGATGAGGCGGGAGAATCACTTAAACCCAGGAGGCGGAGGTTGCAGTGAGCTGAAATCATGCCAGTGCACTCCAGCCTGGACAACAAGAGCAAAACTCTGCCTCAAAAAAGAAAAAGTGGGGTAAGGAGGTTTCTTAATGCAAGGGCATCAAGGATAGCAGATTATATGGTTTGGCTATATATTTGGTTAAATATGTAACCATAAATATATGACCTCAGGTGATCCTCCCATCTTGGCCTCCCAAAGTGCTGGTATTACAGGCATGAGCCACCACACCCAGCTGCCTTCCCACAATTTGCCGACCTAGAAGCTCTATATGGTTTGGCTATATATAGATTTGTCCCCACCCAAATCTCATCTTGAATTGTAGCTTCCATAATTCCCACGTGTCATGGGAGGTACCCGATGGGAAGTAATTGAATCATGGGGGCAGGTCTTTCCCATGCTGTTCTCATGATAGTGAATAAGTCTCATGGGATCTGATGGTTTTATAAAAGGGAGTTCCCCTGCACAAGCTTTTCTTGACTGCCACCATGTAAGATGTAACTCTGTTCCTCATTCACCTTCCACCATGATTGTGAGGGCTCCCCAACCATGTGGAACTGTGAGCCAATTAAACCTCTTTCCTTTATAAATGACCCAGTCTTGGGTAGGTCTTTATTAGCAGCATGAGAACAGACTAATACAGCAGAATATGCTGCTTCAAAATATGCCACTTTTGCATAAGGATTATTTTGAATCATAGGCAATTGAGAAGAAGGAGATACAAGAAAAGCTCTCTGTGTACCCTGGTGTGCCTAAAAGTAGGTTATAAATTTGTAAAGGTGTCCTTCCTCCCCTCTCTACTAAGAGGGATAGAAGTTAATCAGTTAATCACTGGTGACAACTCTAAACAGATGGAACCGGCCGGGCATGGTGGCTCACGCCTGTAATCCCAGATTTTAGGGAGGCCGAGGCAGGCGGATCATGAGGTCAGGAGATCAAGACCATCCTGGCTAATATGGTGAAGCCCGGTCTCTACTAAAAATACAAAAAATTAGCTGGGCGAGGTGGCGGGCGCCTGTAGTCTCAGCTACTCGGGAGGCTGAGGCAGGAGAATGGCGTGAACCCGGAGATGGAGCTTGCAGTGAGCCAAGACTGCGTCACTGCACTCCAGCCTGGGTGACAGAGCGAGACTCCGTCTCAAAAAAAATAAAAAATAAATAAACAGATGGAACCAATGAAATCTACATGACAAACCTTACTAAAAAGCTCTTATCTACTACTAGTTTTCCCACATATTTGCCTTCCCACAATTTTTTTTTTTTTTTTTTGAGATGGAGTCTTGCTCTGTTGCCTAGGCTGGAGTGCAGTGGTGCAATCTCAGCTCACTGCAACCTCTGCCTCCCAGGTTCAAGTGATTCTCCTGCCTCAGCCTCCCGAGCAGCTGGGGTTACAGATGCCCAACACCATGCCCCGGTAATTCTTATATTTTTAGTAGAGATGGGGTTTCACTATGTTGGCCAGGCTGGGCTCGAACCCCTGACCTCAGGTGATCCTCCCACCTCGGCCTCCCAAAGTGCTGGGATTACAGGCATGAGCCACCGCACCTGGCTGCCTTCCCACAATTTGCCTCCCTAGAAGCTCAAAATCTTTTTCCTTTGTCTTGTTACTGCTGTCAAATATAATTTTCTTTTGTAAAGATGCTATATAAGTGCAAATTCTAACCACTTTTTTTTTTGGTAGAGACAGGGTCTCTCTTTGTTGTCTAACCTGGTTTTGAGCTCCTAGCTTCAAGCAGTTCTCCCACCGTGGCTTCCCAAATTGCTGGGATTACAGGCATGAACTACTGTGCCTGGCCTCTAGTCACATTTTTACTTAATCATCACTGAGTTCTCCCATATACAAATGTGATGCATGTGTTTGTTAATAAACTTCAGGTTCTCTTGTTAATTTTTTTTTGAGACGGAGTCTAGCTCTGTCACCCAGGCTGGAGTGCAATGGTGTGATCTCGGCTCACTGCAACCTCCAGCTCCCAGGTTCACCTCCAACTGGCAGGTTCAAGCAATTCTCCCGCCTCAGCCTCCTGAGTAGCTGGGATTACAGGGGTGCGCCACCATGCCCAGCTAATTTTTGTATTTTTAGTAAAGACATGGTTTCACCATGTTGGTCAGGCTGATCTCGAACTCCTGACCTCGTGATCTGCCTGCCTCGGCCTCCCAAAGTGCTGGGATTATAAGAGTGAGCCACCATGCCCAGGCAGTTTCTCCTGTTAATTTTCTTTTATCAGTCTAGTTTACAGAATCCCAGCCTATGATGAGTTATATATATATATGTGCCAGGCACAGTGGCTCATGCTCATAATCCCAGCACTTTGGGAGGTTGAGGTGGGCAGATCAGTTGAGACCATGAGTTTGAGACCAGCCTGGGCAACATGGTGAAACCCTGTCTCTACTAAAAATACAAAAACTAGCTGGGCATGATGGCACACACTTGTAATCTCAGCTACTCAGGTGGCTGAAGCATGAGAATGGCTTGAATCCAGGAGGCGGAGGTTGCAGTGAGCAAAGATCATACCACTGCCCTCCAGCCAGGGCAACAGCGTGAGACTCTATCTCAAATTAAAAAAAAAGAAGAAGAAGCTGGGCGTGGTGGCTCATGCCTGTAATCCCAACATTTTGTGAGGCTGAGATGGGTGGATCACTTGAGGTCAGGAGTTCGAGACCAGCCTGGCCAACATAGTGAAACCCCATCTCTACTAAAAATACAAAAAAAATTTGGCTGGGTGTGGTGGTGCACGCTTGTAATCCTAGCTACTCAGGAGCCTGAGGCAGGAGAATTTCTTGAACCTGGGAGGCAGAGGTGGCAGTGAGCCAAGATGGTGCCACTGCACTCCAGCCTGGGCGTCAGAGCGAGATTCCATCTCAAAAAAAAGAAAAAGAAAATTTTTCCTCGTTTACAATCCAAATGTGAGCCGTTGTTCTATACAGATCCTTAGACACTCTACATTGTCGGAATGAGAAGGTCATGCCAAGATAGAAACACACATCAGCCTTGACTTGAAGAGTCATGAATGGGCACCACACTAAATGGGCTGTATTGTATTCTAGCCCTGTAAAAACTAACACTTTGCATGTCTTGTTGGCACTTTCAAGGAGCACTTTTTCTTTAAGGTTTTCGCATTTATCTGAATCTGTTATAAAACTATTCTTTGTGAAATTGGCTGGGATACTTTGTTTTCCTTCATAAATTTGCAAACATTCTTGATGTGTGTCTGAACTTGGCAAATAATTCATTTAAATACCAAATTATTGAACTTCTATTTTCATAATGCAAATGTTATAATTTAAGATGGTTATAAATAAGGATGCGTTCCCTGAGCACAGACCATGGACCCTATAACTGAGCCACAGATCTTGTCCATAGGATTCACCAAGTTCTTGTTCCATGATGTCTTCTGTAGCCTAAACCAGCCATTGGCCCTTATGTGACAGTTGCATTATATGACACATTTCAAAGGGAAAAACTTGATCTGCAATTTTGTACCTATCAGAAATGTGAAACTTCAATCTTCAGAAAAAAATTAGGAAAGCAGACATTTGTGACTAGACCAATTGTTAAATAACATTTTCTTTTTAAACATGATCAATATGGGGTGTCTTGGTTTCTGTTTTTGTTTTTTCAGATCAAAAAGCTCACTAAAAGTAACCTTTTGAGAAACTAAAAAAAAAAAAAAAAAAAAAAAAAAAAGACATTTGTAAATTTGGCCTAAAACATATGTAGTTGAAAGCCCTTGACTTCTGGCCTTTGTTTTTACTCTTTTCCAACAGCGCTTCAAAGTCAGAATCTGGTGGCTTTGGCAAAGCCATACTTTGAAGAGTGATGAGGAGGGAAGTCAATTAAAAACAGGTTGCAGGATGTTGCATTTCAACTAAAATGGCTGCTGATTTTTATGTATTGGAAGCTTTAAGCCATCAGTCTCAACTTCTTAATTGCAGTAAGATAATTAGCAGAAAATCATAACATCTTATCTTTCAGCAAAAGTTTTGGCTTGCAGTGATTCCTCCCCCCACCCTCTATTTTCTGAGAAGCATAATTATTGGTATAAGAGATCAAAGTAGCTACTTACAGGATACAGTCAGATTATACTCTTTAAAACTCTCCAGTTGTCTGTGTGCCTGGGCCAAACAACCCTTGCTGTACTGCAAATGACCCTCCCAGGCTGCATAAAAGACACATCAGGGGAAGGGAGACCAGAGGGCATCCATATGCAAAATGTTTCTTTGGAGACAGTAATTTAACACAATTGTAGGGGAAAATAGAATTTGTTTTATAAGCTGAGAACAATCAAATCAAGAAATGTCAAGAAACCTCTCCCGCTTTTCACCAAGCTGACTCAAATAAAAACAGGAATTCTTAATTAGAATCCCTTACTATTACCATTTGCTCTACTTGGACGTGACCCAGGGCCATTGAACTTGAACATTTTGTCAACGTTTTCAACAATCTTTGCTTCCCTTTGCTATCTGATGAAGGCATGTTTACCAGCCACATGGTGTGCCCCGTTTTATTAGGTGGGGTTGGTCTCAAAGGGGTTTTCTTTGCTCTGTGCCTAGGATTCTAAGGCTGTCTTCACCCCTTGTGATGTATAGACCCACCATTGGCAATAGATTCTATCAACCATGCCCGAGGTTTCACACAGGCTACTTTGTGCTTAGAGAGCCGTCTCTCCCAGCAGCAGGTAGGCTCCAAGCAGTGACAGACAGCCCACTGTGCATAGCTAACAAGTGCCTCACAGACTGCACTGCGATGCCTGTGGGTCTCTGAGGAGGGTCCTTACTCTGGCAGGCAGTGCCTCTGAGATCACAAGAGTTGGTGGGAACGCTCCCAGAGGGTAGGAAGGAGTGACCCGGCTGGCTGTGGGAGTTCTGTCCTTATGGCACAGCTTCTACCCAGATGCACGTCTCCCTCCAAGCGCCTGAGACCTCACACTGTTACAGCCAGTCAGCTGCAACAGCGAGTCACAGAGCCCGGAAGCAAGCATGGAAATGGAGATTTCCTCGTCTCTATTCAGCAGTCAGTAGCTCCCCTTCATCTTGAACCATTCAAAATGGAATGAAGAATGAGAATCAGTGTCATTGGAATTCCCTACATTCAGGATAATTTGATAATCTCTAATTTCTGGGTGCATTTTCTGGTTTCTGTGTACTTCTCAGAACTCTTGATTTAAAATAAATCATCATCATATTCTCTCAAATAGAGCCCCTAGAATAACTTTGGGGGAAGAGTTTGGAAGGCTAAGGAGAAGTTCTACCTGAAGCCCCCTGATCATGAGCCTGATTGGACGTGACTTCCTTTTTTTTTTTTTTCAAATGGATTCTCACTCTGTCACAATGCCCCCCTCCCAGGTTCAAGCAATTCTCCTGCCTCAGCCTCCAGAGTAGCTGAGATTACAGGTGCCTCCACCATTCCCAGCTAACTTTTTGGATTTTCAGTAGAGATGGGGTTTCACCATGTTGGCCAGGCTGGTTTCGTGTTGGCCAGGCTGGTTTCGAACTTCTGACCTCAAGTGATCCACCTGCCTTGGCTTCCCAAAGAGCTCAGATTACAAGCATGATCCATCGTGCCTGGCCTCACATAAAACTTACATTACATACATTTGTTATGCTTTTCTCTTGTTAATCTACCTTTAGTTATAGGCACCTCAACTATGAACCTAAAAATAGGTGAGTAAAGAAATCTTTTCCCTGCAACTCCAACAAACAGGAAAAAAAGTGTTAGGCTCCAGAACACAATACTTCAAAATACAGTACCCTGTGTGCTGAATATTTTGAACTGGAGGAGAATGGAAGGGCCTCAGAAGCAAAGTCTTTCGGACCTTCTCTCATCCTCCTGTCTTTCACCCCTCTATCTCCCCTCGAAATAATTTGTAGAAACCAGAATTCCTCTTCGCCAAGGCAGGTCACAGAAACTAGAACTCCTCTTCCCCAAAGCAAGCCATAAAGCCTAGAAAGGACATTCTTTGACTTTCTCCCTTCTCCTTTGAAGAGCCTCATGTGACAGGTGTCCGGTCTTATGTCCAGAAGGAAACGAATGCCACACAGAGATGCCAAGAAGAATCTAAATAGGCCATTGTTGGGTTTCCCCTCTCAGTCTATTACCATTAATTAGATCATACCCATTTGTCCAATCACATTTCTACAGAGCTGTTCATTTCTCATTCAACCTGAGCATAAAAATCGGCAGTTTTCCCTGGGTCTTTGGCTCTTCATTTCTGAAGTCACCCCTGTCACATACAACTTTGATTAAATAGATTGTTTGAGCTTTTCTCTTGTTGACCTGTCTTTTGTTTTGTTATTGGAGTGTAGGCTATGATCCTTAAGATGGATGAAGACAAGGTAACACCTTTCCACCCCTGTGTAAGTAAATAACTGTGGACTCCAAAGCATTTACCTTGCTTGTAGATTGAAAACAAATAATCAAAAAGAAAATAATTTATCAACAAAACTCAACTTGGAAGAAAAATGTAAAGCTTATCTTAGCAGTCTTTTATGTAATGGTAGAGTATCCATGGGCAGAAATAGCTTTAAATTACTGATTGAGAAGTGCAGTGAGTGATTTAGTGTCTGTG